>NC_000005.10:89503746-89806776 GCF_000001405.40 Homo sapiens | reverse complement strand
GATAGTTTGCTTAGAATGATGGTTTCCAGCTCGATCCATGTCCTTGCAAAGAACATGAACTCATCTTTTTTTATGGCTGCATAGTATTGCATGGTGTATATGTGCCACATTTTCTTAATTCATTCTATCATTGATGGACATTTGGGTGAGTTCCAAGTCTTTGCTATTGTGAATAGTGCCACAATAAACATATATGTGCATGTCTCTTTATAGCAGCATGATTTATAATCCTTTGGGTATATGCCCAGTAATGGGATCACTGGGTCAAATGGTATTTCTAGTTCTAGATCCTTGAGGAATCGCCACATTTTCTTCCACAATGGTTGAATTAATTTACACTCCCACCAAAAGTGTAAAAGTGTTCCTGTTTCTCCACATCCTCTCCAGCATCTGTTGTTTCCTGACTTTTTAACGATCACCATTCTAACTGGTGTGAGATGGTATCTCATTGTGGTTTTGATTGGCATTCCTCTGATGACCAGTGATGATGAGCATTTTTTCATATGCCTGTTGGCTGCATAAATGTCTTCTTTTGAGAAGTGTCTGTTCATATCTTTTGCCCACTTTTTGATGGGGTTGTTTGTCTTTTTCTTGTAAATTTGTTTAAGTTCATTGCAGATTCTGGATATTAGCCCTTTTACAGATGGAGAGATTGCAAAAATTTTCTCCCATTCTGTAGGTTGCCTGTTCACTGTAATGATAGTTTCATTTGCTGTGCAGAAGATCTTTAGTTTAATTAGACACCATTTGTCTATTTTGGCTTTTGTTGTCATTACTTTTGGTGTTTTAGTCATGAAGTCTTTGCCCAGGCCTATGTCCTGAATGGTATTGCCTAGGTTTTCTTCTAGGGTTTTTATGGTGTTAGGTCTTACATTTAAGTCTTTAATCCATCTTGAGTTAACTTTTGTGTATGATGTAAGGAAGGGATCCAGTTTTGGGTTTCTACATATGGCTAACCAGTTTTCCCAGCACCATTTATTAAACAGGGAATCCTTTCCCTCTTGCTTGTTTTTGTCCAGTTTGTCAAAGATCAGATGGTTGGAGATTTTTTTTAGGCTTCTCTTCTGTTCTATTGGTCTATATATCTGTTTTGGTACCAGTACCGTGCTGTTTTGGTTACTGTAGCATTGTAGTATAGTTTGAAGTCAGGTAGCATGATGCCTCCAGCTTTGTTCTTTTTGCTTAGGATTGTCTTGGCTATGCGGGCCCTGTTTTGGTTCCATATGAACTTTAGAGTAGTTTTTTCCAATTCTGTGAAGAAAGTCATTGGTAGCTTGATGGAAAGGGCATTGAATCTATAAGTTATCTTGGGCAGTATGACCATTTTCATGATATTGATTCTTCCTATCCATGAGATTGGAATGTTCTTCCATTTGTTTGTGTCCTCTTATTTCGTTGAGCACTGGTTTTAGCCCTCCTTGAAGAGGTTCTTCACATCCCTTGTAAGTTGGATTCCTAAGTATTTTATTCTCTTTGTAGTAATTGTGAATGGGAGTTCATTCATGATTTGGTTCTCTGTTTGTCTATTGTTTGTGTACAGGAATGCTTGTGATTTTTGCACATTGATTTTGTATCCTGAGACTTTGCTAAATGTGCTTATCAGCTTAAGGAGATATTGGGCTGAGATGATGGGGTTTTCTAAATATACAATTATGTCATCTGCAAACAGAGACAATTTGACTTCCTGTTTTCCTAAGTGAATACCCTTTATTTCTTTCTCTTTCTTGATTGCCCTAGCCAGAACTTCCAACACTATGTTGAATAGGAGTGGTGAGAGAAGACATCCTTTTCTTGTGCTGGTTTTCAAAGGAAATGCTTCCAGTTTTTGCCCATTGGTATGATATTGGCTGTGGGTTTGTCACACACAGCTCTTATTATTTTGAGATACATTCCATCAATACCTAGTTTATTGAGAGTTTTTAGCATGAAGGGCTGTTGAATTTTGTTGAAGGCCTTTTCTGCATCTATTGAGACAATCATGTAGTTTTTGTCGCTGGTTCTGTTTATGTGATGGATTATGTTTATTGATTTGTGTATGTTGAACCAGCCTTGCATCCCAGGGATGAAGCCAGCTTGATCGGGGTGGATAAGCTTTTTGATGTGCTGCCAGATTCAGTTTGCCAGTATTTTGTTGAGGATTTTTGCATCGATGTTCATCAGGGATAGTGGCCTAAAATTCTCTTTTTTTGTTGTTTCTCTGCCAGACTTTGGTATCAGGATGATGCTGGCCTCGTAAAATGAATTAGGGAGTATTCCTTCTTTTTCTATTGATTGGAATAGTTTCCGAAGGAATGGTACCAGCTCCTCTTTGTACCTCTGGTAGAATTTGTGAATCCGTCTGGTCCTGGATTTTTTTTTTTGGTTGGTAGGCTATTAATTATTGCCTCAATTTCAGAACCTGTTATTGGTCTATTCAGAGATTCAACTTCTTCCTGGTTAGGAGAAGTTGTATGGTCTTAGGAGGGTCTGGTTTGTCTTAGGAGGGTGTATGTGTCCAGGAATTTATTCATTTCTTCTAGATTTTCTAGTTTATTTGCCTAGAGGCGTTTATAGTATTGTCTGATAATAGTTTGTATTTCTGTGGGATTGGTGGTGATATTCCCTTTATCATTTTTTATTGCATCTATTTGATTCTTCTCTCTTTTCTTCTTTATTAGTCCTGCTAATGGTCTATTATGTTGATCTTTTCAAAAAAATAGCTCCTGGATTCATTGATTTTTTGAGAGTTTTTTGTGTCTCTATCCCCTTCAGTTCTGCTCTGATCTTAGTTATTTCTTGCCTTCTGCTAGCTTTTGAATTTGTTTTCTCTTGCTTCTCTAGTTCTTTTAATTGTGATGTTAGGGTGTTGATTTTAGATCTTTCTTGCTTTCTCTTGTGGGCATTTAGTGGTATAAATTTCCCCCTACACACTGCTTTAAATGTGTCCCAGAGATTCTGGTACATTGTGCCTTTGTTCTCATTGTTTTCAAAGAACATCTTTATGTCTGCCTTCATTTCATTATTTACCCAGTAGTCATTCAGGAGCACGTTGTTCAGTTTCCATGTAGTTGTCCTATTTTGAGTGAGTTTGTTAATCCTGAGTTCTAGTTTGATTGCACTGTGGTCTGAGAGACAGTTTGTTGTGATTTCTGTTCTTTTACATTTGCTGAGGAGTGTTTTACTTCCAATTATGCAGTCAATTTTGGAATAAGTGTGATGTGGTGCTGAGAAGAATGTATATTCTGTTGATTTGGGGTGTAGTGTTCTTTAGAGGTCCACTTGTTCCAGAGCTGAGTTCAAGTCCTGGATATCCTTGTTAAGCCTCTGTCTCATTGATCTGTCTAATATTGACAGTGGGGTGTTAAAGTCTCCCATTATTATTGTGTGGGAATCTAAGTCTCTTTGTAAGTCTCTCAGGACTTGCTTTATGAATCTGTGTGCTCCTGTATTGGGTGCACATATATTTAGGATAGTTACCTCTTCTTGTTGAATTGATCCCTTTACCATTATGTAGTGGCCTTCTTTGTCTCTTTTGATCTTTGTTGGATTAAAGCCTGTTTTATCAGAGTCTAGGATTGCAACCCCTGCTTTTTTTTTTTTTTTTTTTTGAGACAGTGTCTTGCTCTGTCACCCAGGCTGGAGTGCAGTGGCACCATCTTGGCTCATTGCAAGCTCCATCTCCTGGGGTCACACCATTCTCCTGCCTCAGCCTCCCGAGTAGCTGGGATTACAGGCGCCTGCCACCAAGCCTCGCTAATTTTTTGTATTTTTAGTAGAGACAGGGTTTCACCACATTAGCCAGGATGGTCTCGATCTCCTGACCTTGTGATCCTCCTGCCTCAGCCTCTCAAAGTACTGGGATTACAGGTGTGAGCCACCGCATTCGGCCAGTAGGAACACTTTTACACTGTTGGTGGGACTGTAAACTAGTTCAACCATTGTGGAAGACAGTGTGATGATTTCTCAAGGATTTAGAACTAGAAATACCATTTGACCCAGTCATTTGCTGGGTATATATCATTTGCTGGGTATATACCCAAAGGATTATAAATCATGCTGCTGTAAGGACACATGCACACATATGTTTATTGTGGCACTATTCACAATAGCAAAGACTTGGAACCAACCCAAATGTCCATCAATGATAGACTGGATTAAGAAAATGTGGCACATATACACCATGGAACACTATGCAGCCATAAGAAAGTATGAGTTCATGTCCTTTGTAGGGACATGGATGAAGCTGGAAACCATCATTCTGAGCCAACCATCACAAGGATAGAAAACCAAACACCCAGTGTTCTCACTCATAGGTGGGAATTGAACAATGAGAACACTTGGACACAGGGTGGGGAATATCACACACCTGGGCCTGTCGTGGGGTGGGGATAGGGGGGAGGGATAGCATTAGGAGACAAACCTAATGTAATGATGAGTTAATGGGTGCAGCACGCCAACATGGCACATGTATACATATGTAACAAACCTTCACGTTGTGCACATGTTCCCTAGAACTTAAAGTATAATAAAAAAGAAAAACAAATAAATTATTTTCTTTAAGAATGTTGAATATTGTCCCCCACTCTCTTCTGGCTTGTCGGGTTTCTTCCAAGAGATCCGCTGTTAGTCTGATGGGCTTCCCTTTATGAGTAACCCGACCTTTCTCTCTGGCTGCCCTTAATATTTTTTCCTTCATTTCAACTTTGGTGAATCTAACAATTTTGTGTCTTGGGGTTGGTCTTCTTGAGGAGTATCTTTGTGGTGTTCTCTACATTTCCTGAATTTGAATGTTGGCCTGCTTTGCTAGGTTAGGGAAGTTCTCCTGGATAATATCCCGAAGAGTGTTTTCTAGCTTGGTTACATTCTCCCTGTCACTTTCTGGTACACCAGTCAACTGTATGTTTGGTCTTTTCACATAGTCCCATATTTCTTGGAGGCTTTGTTTGTTTCTTGTCAGTCTTTTTTCTCTAATCTTGTCTTCTTGCTATATTTCATTAATTTGATCTTCAATCACTGATATCCTCTCTTCCACTTGATCCAATTGGGTGTTGAAGCTTGTGCATGAGTCACGAAGTTCTTGTGCTGTGGTTATCAGTTCCATCAGGTCATTTAAGATCTTCTCTACACTGTTTATTCTAGTTAACCATTCATCTAGACTTTTTTCAAGGTTTTTAGCTTCCTTGTGCCTTGGAGAAATTTGTTATTACCAACCTTCTGAAACCTACTTCTGTCAACTCGTCAAACTCATTCTCCATCCAGTTTTGTTCCATTGCTGGTGAGGAGCTGTGGTCCTTTGGGGGAGAAGAGGCTCTCAGTTTTGGAATTTTCAGCTTTTCTGCTCTGGTTTCTCCCCATCTTTGTGGTTTTATCTACCTTTGTTCTTTGATGTTGGTGACCTACAGGTGGGGTTTTGGTGTGGTGTCTTTTTTGTTGATGTTGATGCCATTTCTTTTGGTTTGTTAGTTTTCCTTCTAACAGTCAGGCCCCTCAGCTGCAGGTCTGTTGGAGTTTGCTGGAGGTCCACTCCAGACCCTGTTTGCCTGGGTATCACCAGCAGAGGCTGCAGAACAGCAAATATTGCTGCCTGATCCTTATTCTGGAAGCTTCGTCCCAGAGAGGCATCCACCTGTTTGAGGTGTTTGTTGGCCCCTACTGGAGGTGTCTCCCAGTCAGGCTACATGGGGGTCAGGGACCCGCTTGAGGAGGCAGTCTGTCCATTCTCGGAGCTCGAACATCTTGCTGAGAGAACCACTGCTCTCTTCAGAGCTGTCAGACAGGGACATTTAAGTCTGTAGAAGCTGTGTGCTGCCTTTTGTTCTGCTATGCCCTGCCCCCAGAGGTGGAATCTGGAGACGCAGTAGGCCTTGCTGAGCTGCGGTGGGCTCCACCCAGTTTACACTTTGTTTACACTATGAGGTACTCAAGCTTCAGCAATGGTGGACACTCTTCCATCCATCAAGCTGCAGCATCACAGGTTGATCTCAGACTGCTGTGCTAGCAGTGAGCAAGCCTCCATGGGCATGGGAGGGCAAGGAAGGGTATCTCCTGGTCTGCTGGTTGTGAAGACCATGGGAAAAGTGCAGATTTGGTCATGAGTGTACTGTTTCTCCAGGTACAGTCTGTCACAGCTTTCCTTGACTAGGAAAGGGAAATTCCCTGACCCTTTGGCTTCCTGGGTGAGGCAATGCCCCTGCCCTGCTTCAGCTTGCCCTCAGTGGGCTGCACCAACTGTTCCACCAGTCCCAATGAGATGAACCAGGTACCTCAGTTGAAAATGCAGAAAAAATGCTGTCTCGCTGGGAGCTGCAGACCAGAGCTGTTCCTATTTGGCCATCTTGGAAGCGCCCTCTCCAGCCAGTCATTCTTACCCTCCACCTGTCATGGAAGCTCAAAAGGCTTTATTAAAACGTATGAAAAATCCTTGATAAAGGCCATATATTTATGTAATTATGCTTTTTCACTGGTTTATCAGTTAGCTACCCCATACTTTCAGGTCTTGAGTGAGAGGAACTAAGTGTATTCCAAAGGCAAAGGTAGACAGAAATATTTAGATAATGGGGTGTTTGCCATTCAGTATGGGCATTGTAGTTATCAGCCCTGGGTGTTATGAGAAACCAGGGTGAATTGCTAGCAACACTACCAATGAGGAATGGCATGCTTTTTCATAGCCTTGAACTTTGGCTTGGAAGAGTTTTGTCCAATAAAAAAGATTTAAAAATTTATTATATTAATAATACTAGTAATTATATTATTAATATAAGTAATACTAATAATGAACAATGAAATTAATAAAGCATCCTTAGTAGCATTTTATTATCATACATTTTTAGAGTTTCCTTTCGAGTGGCAGTGCCAACAGACAGGGCGGGGCAAACAACATAGATACACAACCAGTTTATCATCTATACCACAGATGGGCAGTCATTAGGAGACATGACAGGTATGCTGTGCCTTGAGCACATGGGCCTAGCTTCACTCTTTTATATGCAGTACATAACACAAATGTTTTTCCTCAAGATCTTATCCTAATTGCATAAAACCCTCCAGATTTTCTTTGCTCAAGGTGGGATTAGTTAAACAACTCATTGCTCCATCCCTAATGTATTAACATTTTTTTATTAACAATAATATCATTTCTGTAGTAGGGGAGTTTATAGCCACGGTAACCACGGCATGTGCATGGTTTAGTTTTCTTGAATTTCTACTTCATTATAGCAAACTCCAACTGTGTTCTTTGCTCATCCCACTCTTAAGGTGGCAAGAAATCTATCATTCTATGGTTTCCTATTTTCCGTTGTTTCTCCACCAGTCTTTGTGATCAATATCCATCTCTCTGAATCCCATTGTTTAACTCTATAAAGCTGAATTTTGTGCATTTTTCTCCTTCAGTACAGTCTGTTCCTCTTCTCAGACATATTGTTCACTAAACATTTTATTTTTAAAGCCCTCTCTATAGTCCTTATAATAAGCTTTTGGGGTTGTTACTATTGTCCTGGTTTTGCGATAAGAGACCAAGGGCTAAAGAAAATAAGAGATACACTCAAGGTGACTAAACTGCAAATAGTTGAAAGACTTTTAACATTTATGTCTTCTAACCATAAGTCTAAACTTTAAAATACGCCATACTTTGCATAAATCAGCTCTATTTTGACTGAGATAAATAGTAAGTCTTGGTTCTGTAATTTTGCATTTCCTATTGTAATCTCAATTTTAAGTTAAAGATGAAAGTTTTCCAATTTATTATATTTTCTATCTTTAAGAGAAGACTAAGCATAGAAATAACATTTGAATTTTAAAATACTAAATTTAATCATTTCTTATACAAATAGGACTAGATGAAACATGAGTCCATGTGCATTTCATATTAAAGTTCCAGGTTAGTTATATTATCCAGGCCGATATTTAGTGAAACCTTCTAATATATTTAGCTCAACGTAGTTCCAAGTGGCGATGTTTGGCCTGATATATAGGGGCCTTTTTCAGTGAATATATACTTTACTTTCTCTATGATTATACATAAAATAAATATTAATTGTAGAAAAATCAGAATTACAGGGGTATTGATTTACATGCTATTTGGTTATAGGAGCCCCTGCTACTCTTTGCTATTTTCTGTGATAGGTATTAGGAAACCATGGAGATTCCTTTCTTTCCTAGTGAAGCAAATTATGAGAAGAACATAAAGAGTAGCTCATTGGACGTAAAGCAAAGGCCAGCCTTTATCAGAGCACACACATTTCATATGGACACTATTTAATACTATTTTTGTTCGATTTATTAATTTTTTCTTCCAGAGAAAATAAATAAGTGATTATTTTATTTGTTATAGTCATTAAGGGAAATTGGCTAAGATGACTAGGAACAAAGAGTAAAGTCCTATATTCCAGGATAGAACTCAGTCCTCAGTGACCCATAAGCAAAAAACTCTTTTCTTCCCACTCCAAATTCTGTACATAAAATATTAGGCAGCAACCAATCATTCAAAACATAGTTATCAAATGATTACTAACTAGTAGATGTTACACTAGGCACAGCTTTGAAGAATTAACATTTTATCACCCAACTTAGTTGTGGTCTTTTTCCCTTGTTGGGAGAATGAAAGCTGAGTAGTGAACTCAATACTCTACCTGAAGAAGTTTTGGCTCATGTACTTGAGGTATTGCAATGAAAAAAAATGTATGACCTGCCCACACTATTCATTCCTCCTCTGGACAAGCCCTTTTTTTTTAGGATGGGGCAGTGACGTCCATATCTTTGAACAGGAAACTGGTAACCATGTTGTCCCTATTTTCCCTGTCTTATGTTAGTAAATTACTAACATATTATACAAAAAATTTTCAAAATTAGAAAAATATAATTAACATTTATCTGAATAGCAAGTTTTCATACATTCCTGAGCACAAGGTGATACTAATTGATGCTAAGACAGCATCAGATTCTATTAAAATTGACAAAATTACTTTAATAGGCAACATTAGCTATCATAACACTAGCTAATAAATTACATTACCTTCAATTGTTACTTTACAATATAGCTGTTTATCTGCTATCATTACATTCTTTTGTAGCTATTACAATCATTTGCTTAAGACTACACTTATAAACAGCATAAATATGAAATAATAGTCAATATTTATGTATTTCAAACTTTAACTCATAAAGAAAAAGAACAACAAAAAAAACAAGAATGGTGAAAACTAAAAATAAATTAAACAGAGTGAAAATAATATCACCCTGGGCCTTCTACTTTGGAGAACTCAACAGTCTGAAGCAGATAATTGGCTTGCTTTCCATAGTCTTGCCACTCTCAAAACTACTATAATAATAGACTATTTTTTAGAATGGTTTTAAATTTATGAAAAAATTGCAAAGATAGCACACAGAAATTTGATATGCCCCCAAAGCCAGTTTTTCCTTTTATTAACATTTTACATTAGTATGGTACATTTGTTACAATTAATAACCAACACAGGCCAAGTGCAAGGGTTCATGCCTGTAATCCCAGCAATTTGGGAGGCTGAAGTGGGAGGATTGTGTGAGACCAGGAGTTCATGACCAGCCTGGGCAACTTAATGAGACCCCCATTACTATAAAAAGTAATTTTAAAAAAATTAGCTGAGCATGGTGGCACATGCTTGTAGTCCCAGCTACTCAGTGGGCTCAGGCAAGAGGATTGTTTGAGCCCAGGAATTTGAGGTTACAGTGAGCTATGACTGTGCCACTGCACTCCATCCTGGACAATAGAGTCTCTCTGTCTCTGAAAAAACAAACAACAACAACAACAACAACAAAACAATACTGATACATCATTGTTAATTAAATTTCATACTTGGTATTTCCTCAGTTTTGCCTAATGCCTGTCTTTGTTCCAACATCCCATCCGGGATACTACATTGCATTAACTTGTCATGTCTTGTTAGGCTCCTCTTGGCTATGGCAGTTTCACAGACTTTCCCTGTTTATGATAATTGTATTAGTCTATTTTCTGCTGCTATAATATAACACAATACCACATATTGGGTGATTTACAAAGAAAATAAGTTATTTGGCTCATAATTCTGGAGGCTGGAAAGTCCAAGAACATTGCACTAGTATCTGGTGAGAGCATTCATGCATTATCCCATGGCAGAAGGCAGAAGGAAGAAGATAGAAGGGAGCACAAGAGATAAAGAGCAAATCAGACCCAAACTCATCCTTTTTATCAAGAATGCACTCCCATTACAACTAACCTAATCCCACAATAACAGCACAAATTAATTCATGAAAGTAAAGCCCTCATGGCCTAATTACCTCTTAAAGTTCCCACCTCTTAATGCTGCTACAATGAATATTACATTTTAGTGTGAGTTTGGGAGGGTATACTCGAACCATAACTATGAGCATGACAGTTTGAGGAGTACTGGCCATGTATTTTGTAAGATACCCCTCTTTTGGAATTTGTTTGATTTTTGTTCTAATGGCTCAAATAGAGTTATTGATTTGGGAAGGAAGATCACAGAGGTAAAAGTACCATTTTTACCACATCTTATCAAGTGCACTGTATCAATTAGTGTCTGCAGAGAAACGACTTACATAATCTGTGTGAAGAGATGTATTTTAAGGAATTGGATCACACAATTGTGGGGACTTGTGAGTATCAAGTCTGAAGGACAGCTTGGCAGAATGAAAACTCAAAAAGGAGTTGACGCTGCACTCTTGAGGCATAATTTCTTCTCTGAAATACCTCAGTTTTTGCTCTTCAGACCTTCCACGGATAGGATGAGGGCCACTCATTTTATTGAGGTTAATCTCTTTTCCTTAAGGTTAACTAGTTGTAGATGTTAACCTCATCTATAAAATACCTTCACAACAATGGTTACATTAGTATTTACTTAAACAACCGGGTACTATAGCCTAGCCAAATTGACACATAAAACTAACCATTGCAACTATGTGCTATGAACATTTTATCACTGTTCATGTTGACCCTTAATACCTGGTTGAGGTCGCATTTATCAGGTTTGTAAAGTATTTGTAAAGCTTCTCATTCTTTTTTCATTATGTGTAGCCTATACTTAAGTGGTGAGGATTTATGCTTCCCCTTTTTGAGAGAAGACTATCTACATAAATTAATATTCTGCAAGGAAGATCGTTGAATGCTTTCCCAATTTATATATTTATTCAATCATTTGTTTACATCAGTATGGGCTCATGGATATTTACCTCATACTTTGGTTTATAATCCAGTATTATTTTATTTATTTCAGTTTCTCAAATTACTTCAGGTTTGGCTAGTGGGAGCTCTTTCAGTTGTCTCCTGTGTCCCTTTCCACACCTCCAATGATTTAATTATTTTCTCACAGCTTCTTTACATTATGGAACTATAAGATGCTCCAGGTTCATGTTATATATTTCCAACCTCAGCCTTAGGATCAATTATTTCTCTGTATATACAAATTGTGTATACACACACCTTTATAAGTTTTTCTTTTTCTTTTATTTTGGAATCTAAAAAAGCCAAATTTATATAAATAACGGGTAGAAAAGGGGTTATGAGAGGCTGGGGTGTGTTGGGGGGTACAGCAGACAGGGAGATGCTGTTCAAAGGGTACAAAGTTTTCATTAGGAGGAATAAAGTTTTGAGATCTATTGCACAGTATGGTGGCTATAGTAAATAATAATGTATCATATATTTCAAAATTGCTAAGCATAAATTTCAAATGTCCCACCACAAAGGTGAGCTGGATGATGGATATGTTAATCAGCTTTATTTAATCATTCTGTAATCGGGGGGTCCTTTCTCCCAGAGCTCTCAAGATGGTGGTGGGCTGCTTCCAAGATGGCAGCAGGCCACTTCCAAGATGGTGGCAAGCCTCATCTTTTCTGACCTGGGGTTCTTGGCCTCAAGGATTCCAAGGAATGTAATCTTGGGCCATGTGGTGAGTGCTATAGCTCTATTAGAAGCTGTGGGTCACAGAAGAGAGCCATGGAACCCAGTGACCAGTGTTCTGCTTGATTAGGATGAACCCGGGCACTTAGCCGTGCAGGAACAATGGCAAGCCTTTAGCCCGATTGGGAGTGGCAATGGACACCTCACTGGATCAGAAGCACAGCAGACACCCTTTTGGATCTGGAGGGATGGAAGTCAGTGGCGGGTCTGCAACAGCGGCCAACAGCAGTGGTGGATGGCAAGTGAAACTCAGCTCAAGCTGTAACAAACATGGACCAGAAGAGTGCAGTTGCAAGATTTAATAGAGTGAAAACAGAGCTCCCATACAAAGGGAGGGGACCCAAAGGGGTTGCCGTTGCTGGCTTGAATGCCTGGGTTTATATCTGATCGTTGTCCCTCCTTTGGTGCTCTCAGGCAATAGATGATTGGCTATTTCTTTACCTCCTGTTTTTGCCTAATTAGCGTTTTAGTGAGCTCTCTGATTGGTCAGATGTGAACTAAGTTGCAAGCCCCATGTTTAAAGCTGGACATGGTCACCTTCCCAGCTAGGCTTAGGGATTCTTAGTCAGCCTAGGAAATCCAGCTAGTCCTGTCTCTCAGTCCCCTCCTCAACAGGAAAACCCAAGTGCTGTTGGAGAGGTTGGCTAATGACTGCTCTAACTGCTTCCTGCTGAATTGGGGTGTAGCAGGGGTTGTGCAGTTGAGATTTCCTCAGGAGGGGTGACTTCGATGTCATCAACATCGGAGCATGGGCTAGCAGGCCGGTCCAAGGGACCACAGTAGATTTTAGTTGTGGACTGCATCTGGGGCTCCATTTGAAGAACCATTCGTAGTTTTACAGCTTTGATTCTGGAAGAGACAAATTTAATAAGGAGGTTAAAGATACAGGGATTGAAATGTACAGCCTGCAGTGCAGGGAATTGTTTGTTTGGCACACTTCACAGGCCCTGACTATCTGCTTGGCAGTTTTGAAAAGGCCTGGGCATTTATAAGTATTTCTGTATGGAACCATCAATATCAATATTAAACTTTATATGAGTTTATACTGATGTTTCCAGCTCTAACTCATTACCACATGGATAATTCTAGAGGCTCCTCCCCTTGCTTATCTGTAAATTTCTGCTGCAACAGTAAGAAATCAGGCTTCCACGATCCATGATCCATTTTATTGATTTTTCAATTCCACATACATGTGTAGCAATATGAGAATTAACCAATACCATTATGGGAAACAATTTTATCAACTACAGTAGAGTACTTATGCACAGTTCCTTTTGTCTTTAGTTGTGTAGACTCCACTCATTTTCAAAGTTACTTACGTCAAGACCTTTCAACTTATCCTCTGTAGTGAGATTATTTCACAAATTTGCAATACAGGAGGGTTTTCTAATCACAGTATGCATTCCTTCCTGAGATCCTTGACCCCCTAAATATTTTATTTTCATCATTTGTACTGTAGCATTCTATCAATTTTCATAAATACATAATACCATGTATCCACTACTACAGTAGTATAAAGAACTGTTTCACTGCCGTGAAGAAATAGCCTATGCTTTATCTAATCAAATTTCCTCACCTTGCTCCCTTGGTAACCACTGATCTTTCCACTTTCACTGTTTGTTACCTTTTCCAGGACACTTAATTGGAATCACACAGTATGCCACTGTTTCATACTGGCTTCTTTCAGTTAGCAATGTGCATTTATGGTTCAACCATGTCTTTTCATGCGGATTGATATCTCTTCTTTTATTATTAAATAATGTTCCATTGTATGGCTGTACCACAGTTGTTTTATCCTAGATTATAATTTTCAGGTAATCTGTTTCATAAAAACTGGTATGTGCTAGGTACACTTTTTGAGTTTTTGCTCATCAGAACATATTTCTGATGCTTTTCAAAAAGATACAAATTTTAATGAGTACAGGATATTTATGAACACAAACTTTCACTCTCAATGATCTGCAATAATACAAATTGATATTTACTGAGAATATTCCACCAATTTTAAAATGTACATTCTTTCATATTTGAATATCTCTGAAATTTTGATGAAACTTGTAATTAATAGCTTCACACAATCAATTTGGGGTGGCACAGTTATGACAGTTTTGTTACACATGCACAAATTTGGTCACAATTTTTTGTCATAATTTTAATTAAGTATATGCATTGATGTTATTGTATATATTGAGTTTAAATGCCATATAAAATGCCTTCTAAATAATTACACATTTCATTAGTTAAATATATAGATGTTGAAAATAAAAATGTCATAGATCAGAAGAAAGACATAATTTGATGTAAATCCAGGCACATTCATTGTTGGAAGAATGATTATACTTCTTTTGTATTTTTGGAACGATTAAACAACATGATTTATGTTATCAAAGAAAGGACAAAACCCTAGAGGACTCACGCGATTAATTATTTATTTTATAGGTACATGTGAACAAATATTGCCTATAACATTCAGAGGAATGCAATTGAAAACATAAGAAACTGCCAAAACCTTGGTGTAGGTTAAATTAATTTCAAAGCAAATGAGAAGCTGGTGTGATGGATTGTCACTCAGGATTATCATTAAGACATATGTCACTGCTTAATTGGCAGTCTTTTGTGTCTTACTAGTAGTAGATAAAATAATGGTGTGCCTTACCACCCTTGAAATCTTATATTTAATAAGACATGGTATTTATGATGTGTTGTGCTATGTGGTCTATGTATTTAGTATCATTTAAGCTACTCTTTCATCCAGTGAGGCAGGTATTAATAATTGTCCTAATTTATTGGTGATGCCACATAGAAAGAATACATAGCTCATCTGAGGTCATAAAGCTAATAACTTGTAGGATTTGGATTGAGATTTTATAGCAGAGCCCATGTTCTTACACACCACTGTAGTGCTGCTACAAAGGTTCATTTCTTTCTGAGAATTACTATTAGTGAGAAGTTTGAAATTGGCTTGGTTTTTCATTTGTTTTTATAATTCAAATATTTTAATTAACTTTCATATTATATCTCAATTCTGCCTGCCTCCTCACCATTTTCCCCAAACAGGTATCCATTAAAATAATGACTAACGTTTTAAAATTGTGGAGATAGGAAAGAATGCCTAATGTTACAAGAAATTTAGGGCAATAAATTAGAATTTGATAGGTTTTTAAAAAGTAGATATATGGGTGGGAGAGAGGATCAAACTAAATGTACCACTTAGAGTCCACTCAAAATTCACTCTTAAGAAATAGACAATAATCAGATGTTATACTCCAATATCACTAACAAGTAGCAATATTTGAAAGTTCAGAAATGCTAGGTTTGTGTGGCAAGTTTCTTAAGCAGAGAAATTTAGGGCATCAGAAACATTTGGCCGAGTGCAGTGGCACACGCCTGTAATCCCAGCACTTTGGGAGGCCAAGGTGGCAAGATCATCTGAGATCAGGAGTTTGAGACAAGCCTTGCCAACATGATGAAACCCCATCTCTACTAAAAACACAAAAATTAGCTGGGTATGGTGGCAGGCACCTGTAATCCCAGCTACTTGGGAGGCTGAGGCAAGAGAATCACTTGAATCCAGGAATTGGAGGTTGCATTGAGCTGAGATAGCACCATTACACTCCAGCCAGGTGACAAGAGTGAAACTCTGTCTCAAAAAAGAAAAAAAAAAGGAAAGAAAAAGAAACATTACTCCTAGCATGGGATTGAACAATATAAAGCTTCAAGATTTTTCAGAGAACTGAATCAGTAATGTGTGGGGAAATTTTTGAAACTCTCTAATAATATGAAAAGAAAAATAATAACATTATAGAAACAATAAAAGGGACTAAGGAAGACTTGGAAGACAAAGAATATAATGTCTGATGTAGGTTTCAAAAAAAGAAGCATCTAAAAAATCATACCAGAATAAAAGGTGATATGGTTTGGCTCTGTGCCCCACCAAAATCTCACTTGAATTGTAAAAATCCCCATGTGTCAAAGACTAAGTGGAGGTAATTTAATCATGAGGGCAGTTTCTCCTATGTTGTTCTCATGATAGTGAGTGCTTCAGCTCCAGCCATGGCTAAAAGGGGCCAAGGTACAACTCAGGCTATTACTTCAGAGGGTATAAGCCCCAAGCCTTGGTGGCTTCCACATGGTGTTGACTCTGTGGGTGCACAGAAGTCAAGAATTGAAGTTTGGGAATCTCCACCTAGGTTTCAGAGGATGTATGGAAACACCCAGATGTCCCTGCACAAGTTTGCTGCAGGGGTGGAGCCCTCATGGAGAACCTCTGCTAGGGCAGTGCAGAAGGGAAACGTAGGGTTGAAGCCCCTACATGGAGTCACCAGTAGGTCACTGCCTAGTGGTGCTGTGAGAAGATGGTCACCATCCTTCAGGCCCCAGAATGGTATATCCATGGACAGCTTGCACTATGTGCCTGGAAAAGCTGCAGGCACTCAACACCAGCTTGTGAAAGCAGCCAGGAGGCGGGCTGTACCCTGCCAAGCCACAAGGCTGGAGCTGCCCAATGCCATGGGAGACCACCTCTTGCATCAACATAACCTGGACATGAGGCATGGAGTCAAATGAGATCATTTTGGAAATGTAAGGCTTAATGACTGCCCTGTTGGATTTCAGACTTTTATCAAGCCTGTAGCCCTTTTGTTTTGGCCAATTTCTCCCATTTGGAATGGGTGTATTTACTCAATGCCTGTACCTCCACTGTATCTAGGGAGTAACTAACTTGCTTTTGATTTTACAGGCTCATAGACGAGAGGAACTAGCCTTGTCTCAGATGAGACTTTGGACTTTGACTTTTGGGTTAATGCTGGAAAGAGTTAAGACTTTGGGGGTCTGTTGGAAGGGCATGATTGTATTTTGAAATGTGAGGATATGAGATTTGGGAGGGGCCAGGGGTTGAATGATATGGTTTGGCTCTGTGTCCCCACCTAAATCTCACCTTGAATTGTAATAATCCCCATGTGTCAAGGGGGGAACCAGGTGGAAGAAATTGAATCACAGGAGCAGTTTCCCTCATGCTGTTCTTGTGATGGTGAGTGAGTTCTCATGAGATCTGATGGTTTTATAAGCCTCTGGCATTTTCACTGCTGGCACTCATTCTCTCTCCTGCTGCCCTGTAAAGAGATTCTTCCACTGTGATTGTTTCCTGAGGCCTCCCAGCCATGTGGAACTCTGAACCAATTAAACCTCTTTTCTTTATGAATTACCCAGTCTCAGGGATTTCTTCATAGCAGCATGAGAATGGACTAATACAAAAGGAGAAAACAATGATATAAATTATTTAATTCCAAGTATTTATAAATTTAGATAAAATTAATTAGAAGTTACTAATACCTAGATATAGGTTGGTGAAATGTAGAATGCTTAAAACTATCCCAAAAGCATCATGACAAGAAATAATGTTATTTATAAAGGAAGAAAATTATGGCTTGCTTAGGACTCACATTAAACATGTAGCACTGGATAATTTTCTCCACTGACTGCTTTTGTTGCAGACTATTTTTTCAAGGATGGTTGTGTAGTGAACAGCTTTGAGAGATAGAAATATTGTCTCCCTTTGGAGCAAAAGGCAGTTTGCACATTTTCCACATTAAAAGATTTTGGCTTTCTAAATTCATTGCTCTTCTCCTATAATACAATCTATTGCATATGCAAGAGTTACCTGGCCCTCTCTTCTGTGTGTTATGAGAATTTGGTCTCTGGAACAGTACAAGAAAATTATGATACTCTAATTTCTGTGAGTAATAAAGGTCTTTTTTTTTTTTTGACCCAGGGGTATTGTGTGTTTTACCAGCATTTGGGAAACTTCACCAGTCTGACTAGCCTAACTTGTCAGCTTTCAGAAAGGGTAAAATCTTAGATTCTTTATCATTCTTGACAAAACCAATTGAATTTTTTTAGTTATAACCCCCATAAAAGCCATTTTAGATGTAACATAACTCAGAAGACCTGTCACTGTTTTCCTTCCAGCAATATTTCATAAAAAACACTAAAGCTGGATGAAAGTTACAAAATAAACATTTTATGTATTGATAAGTCATAGTATACCATGATTGTTAATGAGATTGAGACTATTTAAGTATAAAGTAATTAGAAATAATACTTGTATATATGCTTAATAGAAAAATAAATTTTAGAAGAAAAACCACATAAAATAAAAAATGATTACTTAATTATGAGTCCTTAGATCAAAAATTCCAGTAGTGCTAACAGAAATTTGGAGGTGAGTAGAGGAGAAAAAAGGTGGGTAATTTTGAAAATGTCCTTATTTTTAATAAAAGATAGTTTTAACAAGTTTGCATACATTCTTAGCATCCAATCTGGTATTTTAAAACTTAAAAAATATAAACAAGAAATTGATAGAAAAAGAAATTTTAGTGGCCAAAACCTATTAGGAAAGGGGCAAACTTAGTAATAATAAGAGAAAGGCAAATACAAAATTTAAAATACAATAGTCAGATTGTAAAATAATTGTCAAAGTATTGACAGTATCCAATGCTGATTAAGATGTGGGTTCTCCAGAGAAATAGAAACAATGGCATATATATAGACATATAAGATGCGATTTATTATGCGAATTGGCTTATGCAATATGGACTCTTAGAAGTCATACAATATGCTATCTGCAAGCTGGAGAACGAGATAAGTTGATACAATAATTCAGCTTGAGTATGAAGGCCTAAGAACCAGAGCTCCCATGTCCAAGGATAGGTGAAGATGAATGTCTCAGCTCCAGGAGAGAGAGAGAATTCACCCTTCCTCCACATTTTTGTTCTATTTGGGCCCTCAATGAATTGGATGATGCTAGACTACACAGAAAGAGTGGATCTTCCTTACTCAGTCTACTGATTCAAATTATAAGCTCTTCCAGAAACAGTCTCACAGACCCACCCAGAAATAATGTTTTGGAAGGTATCTGGGTATTCCTTAGCCTAGTCAAGTTAGCATATAAAATTAACCATCACATGTGTTGAATGGTGAATCAATCAATATTAATGCCATTGTAATTAGATAAAAAATAGTTTGAGGCCAACTCAGCAGTGTCTGTGCCACTTCCAAATGCATATTTTGACCTGTTAATTACATCTCTAAATTATGTCCCAAATATATATTCATGCACATGCACTTATAAATATATAAACGAATGTGAAGATACTCATGGCCTTTCACTTAAAAGTGTTCTACTTTTCTTCTACAGTAATCAAACTGTAGACAGACACATGGCTTTCCAACTGTTTTCCCTTTCTCAACCTCCTTAATATGACTCTTTCTTACTAATTGAAAGTGAGCAGAAGTGATGAATGCTACTTCTAGAATGGAGGCTTTAAGATTGTCCTGCCACCTCCATGCTCTCTCCACCTCGTACGGCCTATTGTTGGCAGGATCTGAGGAATGGCAGCAACAGCAGCAACCATGTAAATGTTGAAAGGAGATAAAGAATCAAAAAATAATGTGGGTTCTTGATTTACCATGTGGGTCAGAAAGATATATTTTGCATGTTACATTAAAAATTACACAATTATACCTATATCTATGGATGTGTGTTGTATATATATTTATGTGTATATATATACACATATGAGTGTGTATGTGTACAAAAGATTCACTCGAAATTGTATGTGAAAGTTGGAAAGAGCAATATTTGTTTTATTTTATATATTTATATATTGTTTAAGAATGGGGTGTTTGTATTAAGCCCTAGATAAATGCTATTAATGTTGATAAACAAAATAACAAACAAACACAAAATCGCCTATTACAAGCCCAAATATCATAAAGTTATCCACTAGATTGGAATAATAGAACAAGAGAGATTATTAGCAAAACAAAAAATCACACAGAATTTTATTTTATGGCAAAATAATATCTGACAATATAAATTTTCAGAATGTAATACAAATGAAACACTGATAAGTTTTCTTCATGTATCATTCATATACCATTCACGTTTTAAGCAAAATTTGCATTATTACTATATAGCAATATACAATTCAAAGGAAAATCAAGAACATTTTATGTTAATGGAAATAGTTTATAAAAACAGGAATTATGAAAGTCTAAACATAAAATGAATATGTCAAGATATATAATACTGTCAGAAGCAAAAAAACTTGTAAAATTAGTAATGCATTACATATGAAGTAAAAAAGTAGTAATTTATGTTAACATTTCAAGTATAAAAAAGATATAATAAATTATATGTGTGTATAAATATGCATATAGAATTATCTACCATGTCAACACAGAATAAATCTTGATTTTAAACATCTATGGAACACTTTAAGAAGTGATATAACATTTAGTTGAGAAAGACATCCTCAAGAAATTACTAAAAGTCAACAATATTTATACTGCAGCCTTTTACCACAATGTAAAAAAGTTAGAATATAAGAATACATTTGATTATCAATTATAATATTGGTAACTTGTGTCTTTTTTAATTAGCTAGGCTAGAGGTTTACCACTTTTATTAATTTATTTTATTTTATTCATTTATTTTTTTTTTTTGAGACGAAGTTTTGCTCTTGTTACCCAGGCTGGAGTCCAATGGCATGATCTCGGCTCACTGCAACCTCCACCTCCCGGGTTCAAGAGATTCTCCTGCCTCAGCCTCCTAAGTAGCTGGGATTACAGCCATAAGCAACCATGTCCAGCTCATTTTTGTATTTTTAGTAGAAACGAGGTTTCACCATTTTGGTTAGGCTGGTCTTGAACTCCTGACCTCAGGTGACCTGCCCACCTCAGCCCCCCAGAGTGCTAGGATTACAGGAGTGAGCCACTGCGCCCGGTCTATTAATTTTTTTTAAACCTAGCTTTTGATTTTATTGCTTTTCTTTATATTTTCAATTTTTAATTGGTTTCTGCTTTACTTTTTATTTCTTATTTTCTTCTGCTTGCTTCAGGCTTAAATTATTCTTCTCTTTCTTAAAATGTGTACTTAAGATGGAATATTACGTTACTGATTTGAGATCTTTCTTCTTTTCTAATATATGCATTAATGCTGTAAATTTTCCCCAATTACAACATTCACTACGTCATAAATTTTGATAAGTTGAATTTCCATTTTTATTTAAGTCAAAATATTGTTAATTTCTCTTGCAACTCCCTCCTTGACTCATGTATTACTTTACAAGGGCATTGTTTAATTTTCCGGTATTTGAAGATTTTTAGCAATCGATTATTGATTTCTAGCTTCTATTACTTTCTGAAAACATACTATGTATGAATTTTATTCCTTTAAATTTTTAAGGGTGTGTTTTAATGTTCCCAGTGTAATCTATCTTGTTGAATACTCCATTTGTGCTTGAAAAAGATGTATATTCTGCTGTTGTTGTATGAAGCAATCTACAAATGTCAATTGCATAAAGTTGTTAATAGTGTTATTCCAGTCAACTACATTTTTACTGCTTTTCTGTCTGTTTGGTCTGTCAATTACTGAAGAAGAAGTGTTGAAATCTTTTACTATAATAGTGGATTTGTCTATTTCTTTTTCAATTGTCTCAGTTTTAGCCTCTGATCTTAGGTGTCCTGATACTTGGTTGACAAGTGTATACATGTTTAGAATGACTATGTCTTTGTGGAAATTGGCCCCTTTATTACTATGCAATGCTTCTATGTATTCTTCATAATTTTCTTTGTTTTGAAATCAGCTTTGTCCAAAATTAGTGATGCTACTACTGCTTTCTTTTGGTTAGTATTATTTCTCTATGCTTTTACTTTAACCTACCTCAGTCTTCGTAAAGTGGTTATCTTGTAGACAATACGTAGTTGGGCCTAGTTTTTTTTTGCTTTTTACCTACTTAGAAAATCTATATTTTAATTGGTATATTTACAGTATTAAGATATGAAGTAATTTCTCCATATTTGTATTATTATCCACAATTCTTATAACTGTTTTCCATTAACCATATTTGTTCTTTGTATATTTTTTGCCCCTCCTTTTCTGTCTTCATTGATTTTACTTGGGCATTTTATATGATTCCATTGTATCTCTTCTCTCAGGGTATCCATTATAATTCTTTCTTAAAAAATTTGGTTTTACCTAAAATTTTCAATATACATTTTAAACTAATCTAATTCCACCTTCAAATAATATTATATCACTTCATGTGCAGTGCAGGTACTTCTTAAAAAGTAGTCCCATTCCATCCCTCTGATCACTATTATATTGCTGTCATTCATTTCACTTGTCTCTGTGTGTGCTATAATCACTCAATACTTTGCCACTATTATTACCTAACCAGTTATATTTTATATCAATTAATAATACAAAAAAATTTTACTGTATTTTTATCTTTATTTCTTTTTAAAAAATAATTTCAGCTTTTATTTTAGATTCAGGGGATAAGTGTGCAAGTTTATTGTGTGATGCTGAGGTTTGGGGGATGAATGATCCCATCACATAGGTAATGAGCATAGTAGCCAATAAGTAGTTTTTCAGCCCTTGCCCCTGTCTCCACCCTCTAGTAGTCCCCAGTGTGTATTGTTGCCATCTTTATGTCCATGTGTACTCATTGCTTAGCTCCCACTTATAAGTGAGAACATGAAGTATTTGGTTTTCTGTTCCTACATTAATTCACTTAGGATAATGGCCTCCAGCTGCATCCATGTTCCCACAAAGGACATGATTTCATTCTTTTTATGGCTGTGTAGTATTTCATGGTGCATATGCAGTACCTTTTCTTTATTCAATCCACCATTAATGGGCACCTGGGTTGATTCCCTGTCTTTGCTATTGTGAATGGCGTGGTAATGAAAATATGAGTGCATGTTTCTTTTTTTTTTCATAAACTCCATGTTTTAATCTGATTTTTCTGGTTGAACAATATATCATGAATGTGTTTCCATGTCTAGAAGTATATTGAATTTTAACTACTTTTATAATATACTTTGAATATTGTGTGATTTTTTCTTTTTTAAAAATTTTAGTTTAAGTTCTGGAATACAGGTGCGGAATGTGTAGGTTTGTTTTACATGCATATACGAGTGCCTTGGTGGTTTGCTGCACCTATCAACCCATCATCTCGGTTTTAAGCCCTGAATGCATTACCTGTTTGTCCTAATGTTCTCCCTCCCCTCACCCTCTATACCCCGACTGGCCCCAGTTTGTGTTGTCCCCTGCACTGTGTCCATGTGTTCTCATACTTCAATTCCCACTTATGAGTAAGAATATGAGGTGTTTGGTTTTCTGTTTCTGTGTTAGTTTGCTGAGGATGGTGGCTTCCAGCTTCATCCATGTCACTGCAAAGGACATGATCTCATTCCTTCTTCTGGCTGCATAGTATTCTATGGTATATATGTGCCACATTTTCTTTATCAAATGTATCATTGATGGGCATTTGGGTTCATACCATGTCTTTGCTCTTGTAAACAGTGATGCAATAAATATATGTGTGCATGTTTCTTTATATTAGAATGATTTATATTCCTCTGGGTGCATACCCAGTAATAAAATTGCTGGGTCAAATAGTATTTCTGGTTCCAGATCCTACAAGAACTGCCACACTGTCTTCCACAATGGTTGAACTAATTTACATTCCCACTTACAGTGTAAAAGTGTTCTTATTTCTCAACGGGCTCACCAGCATCTATTGTTTTCTGACTTTAATAATCACCATTCTAACTAGCATGGGATGGTATCTCATTGTGGTTTTGATTTGCATTTCTCTAATGATCAGTGATGAGGTTTTTTTCATATGTTCGTTTGCCACACAAATGTCTTCTTTTGAGAAATGTCTGTTCCTATCCTTTACCCACTTTTTGATGGGGTTGTTTGTTTTTTTCTTGTAAATTTGTTTAAGTTCCTTGTAGATTCTGGATATTAGCCCTTTGTCAGATGGAGAGATTGCAAAAGTTTTTTCCCATTCGGTAGATTGCCTGTTCACTCTGATGATAGTTTCTTTTGCTGTGCAGAAGCTCTTTAGCTTAATTAGATCCCATTTGTCACTTTTGGCTTTGATTGCAATTGCTTTTGGGTTTTCATCATGAAGTCTTTGCCCATGCCTATGTCCTAAATGATATTACCTAGGTTTTCTTCTAGAGTATTTATGGTTTGAGGCTTTACATTTAAGTATTTAATCCATCTTGAGTTAATTTTGGTATAAGGTGCAAGGAAGGAATCGAGTTTCAGTTTTCTGCATATGACTAGCCCGTCTTCCTAGCACCATTTATTAAATAGGGAATCCTTTCTTCATTTCTTGTTTTTCTCCAGTTTGTCCAAGATCAGATGGTTGTAGATGTGTGGTTGTTATTTCTGAGGTCTCTGTTCTGTTCCATTGGTCTATAAGTCTGTTTTGGTACCAGTACCATGCTGTTTTGGTTACTGTAGCCTTGTAGCAGTTTGAAGTCAGGTAGCATGATTCCTCCAGCTTTGTTCTTTTTGCTTAGGATTGTCTTAGCTATACAGGCTCTTTTTTGGTTCTATATGAAATTTAAAGTAGTTTTTTTTTAAATTCTAGAAACAATGCCTATGGTAGTTTGATTGAAATAGTACTGAATCTATACATTACTTTGGTCAGTATGTCCATTTTAAAGATATTGATTCTTTGATTCTTCCTACCCATGAGGATGGAATGCTTTTGCATTTGTTTGTATCCTCTATTATTTCCTTGAAAAGCAGTTTGTAGTTCTCCTTGAAGAGGTCCTTCACATCCCTTGTTAGCTGAACTCCTAGGTATTTTATTCTCTTTGTAGTAATTATGAATAAGAGTTCATTCATGGTTTGGCTCTCTGCTTGTCTATTGTTGGTGTATAGGAATGCTTGTAATTTTTGCCCATTAATTTTGTCTCCTGAGACTTTGCTAAAGTTGCTTATCAGCTTAAGGAGTTTTTGGGCTGAGACAATGAGGTTTCCTAAATATACAATCATGTTGTTAGCAAACAGAGACAATTTGACTTCCTCTTTTCCTGTTGGAGTACCCTTTATTTCTTTCCCTTGCTTGATTGCCCTGTCCAGAACTTCCAATACTATGATGAACAGGAGTGCTGAGAGAGGGAAATCCATGTCTTGTACCAGTTTTCAAAGGGAATGCTTCTAGCTTTTGCCCATTCAGTATGATGTTGGCTGTGGGTTTGTCATAAATAGCTCTTTTTATTTTGAGATATGTTCCATCAATACCTAGTTTATTGAGAGCTTTTAACATGAAGGGATGTTGAATTTTATCAAAGGCCTTTTTCTGCATCTATTGAGATGTTCATGTGGTTTTTGTCATTGATTTGTTTATACGATGGATTAAATTTATTGATTTGTGTATGTTGAACCAGCCTTGCATCCTAGGGATAAAGCCGACTTGATCATAGTGGCTAAATTTTTTGATGTGCTGCTGGATTTGGTTTGCCAGTATTTTATTGAGAATTTTTGCATTGATATTTATCAGGGATATTGGCCTAAAGTTTTCTTTTTTTGTTGCTTCTCTGCCAGGTTTTGGTGTCAGGGTGATGCTGGCCTCATAAAATGAGTTATGGAGGAGTCCTTCCTTTTCAATTGTTTGAAATAGTTTCAGAAGGAATGGTACCAGCTCCTCTCTGTATTTCTGATAGACTTTGGCTGTGACTCTGTCTGGTTCTGGGCTTTTTTTGGTTGGTAGGCTATTAATTACTGCCTCAATTTCAGAACTTTTTATTGGTCTATTTAGGGATTCTACCTCTTCCTGGTTTAGTCTTGAGAGGGTTTATGTGTCCAGGAATTCGTCCATTTCTTCTATATATTCTAGTTTACTTGCGTAGAGGTGTTCATAGTATTCTCTGCTGGTAGTTTGTATTGTTGTGGATCAGTGTTTACATCCCCTTCATTATTTTGTATTGTGTCTATTCGATTCATCTCCCTTTTCTTCTTTATTAGTCTAGCTAATAGTTTTTGTTTTTTTGTTTTTCTGAAAAGCAGTTCCTGGATTCATTGATTTTTTTTGAAGGGTTTTTGTTTCTCTACCTCTTTTGGTTCAGCTCTGATCTTAGTGCTTTCATGTCTTCTGCTGCATTTGGATTTGTTTGCTGTTACTTCTCTAGCTCTTTTAATTGTGATGTTAGGGTGTCGATTTGAGGTCTTTCTAGCTTTTTGATGTGGGCATTTAGTGCTATAAATTCCTTCTAAACACTGCTTTAGCTGTGTCCCAGAGATTCTGGGGCATTGTCTCTTTGTTGTCATTGGTTTCAAAGAACATATTGATTTCTGCCTTAATTTTATTATTTACCCAGGAATCATGCAGGTTGTTCAATTTCCATGTAATTGTGTGGTTTTGAGTGAGTTTCTTAATCCTGAGTTCTAATTTGATTGCACTGTGGTCTGAGAGACTGTTATGATTTCAATTATTTTGCATTTGCTGAGGAGTATTTTACTTCAAATTATGTGGTCAAATTTAGTATAAGTGTCATGTGGCACTGAGAAGAATGTATATTCTGTGGATTTGGGGTGGATAGTTCTGTAGATGTCTATTAGGTCCACTTGATCCAGAGCTTCAAGTCCCGAACATCCTTGTTAATTTTCTGTCTTGTTGATCTGTCTAATATTGATAGTGGGGTATTAAAGTCTCCCACTATTATTGTGTGAGAGTCGAAGTCTCTTTGTAGGTCTCGAAGAACTTGTTTTATAAATCTGGGTGCTCCTGTATTGGGTGCATATATATTTAGGATACTTAGCTCTTCTTGTTGAATTGATCCCTTTACCATTAATGTAATGCTTTTCTGTGTCTTTTTTGATCTTTGTTGGTTTAAAGTCTGTTTTGTCAGAGACTAGGATTGCAACAACTGCTTTTTTTTTTTTTTTTTTTTTTTTTGCTTTCCATTTGCTTGGTCAATATTTCTCCATCCCTTTATTTTGAGCCTATGTGTGTCTTTGCACATGAGATTGGTGTCCTGAATACAGCACACCAATTGTTCTTGACACTTTATCCAATTTGCCAGTCTGTGCCTTTTAATTGGGACATTTAGCCCATTTACATTTAATGTTAATATTGTTATGTGTGAATTTGATCCTGTTATCATGATGCTGTCTGGTTATTTTGCACACTAGTTGAGGCATCTTCTTTATAGTGTCATTGCTGTTTATATTTTGGTTTGTTTTTGCAGTGGCTGGTACTGGATTTTCCTTTCCATATTTAGTCCTTCCTTCAGGAGCTCTTGCAAGGCAGAGCTGGTGGTGATGAAATCCTTCAATATTCGTTTGTCTGGAAAGGATTTTATTTTTCCTTCGCTTATGAAACTTAGTTTAGCTGGATATGAAATTCTGAGTTGAAAATTATTTTCTTTAAGAATGTTGAATATTGGCCTCCAATCTCTTCTGGCTTGTGTGGTTTCTATGGAGAGGTCTGCTGTTAGTCTGATGGCCTTCCCTTTGTAGGTGACTTGAGCTTTCTCTCTGCCTGCCCTTAACATTTTTTCCTTCTTTTTCACCTTGGAGAATCTGATGATTATGTGTCTTGGGGTTGATCTTCTTGTGGAGTATCTTAGTGAAGTTCTCTGTATTTCCTGAATTTGCATGTTGGCCTATCTTGGTAGGTTGGGTAAGTTCTCCTAGAATAATATCCTGAAGGTTGTTTTCCAGCTTGGCTCCATTCTCCCCGTCTCTTTCAGGTACTGCAATCAATTGTATGGTTCAGTCTTTTTACATAATCTCATATTTTTTGGATGTTTTGTTCATTCATTTTATTCTTTTTTCTCTAATCTTGTCTGCATGCCTCAATTCAGCAAAATGGTCTCCAAATTCTGATATTTTTTCTTCCGCTTGGTCGATTTGGCAATTGACACTTGTGTATGATTCAGGAAGTTCTTGTGCTGTGTTTTTCAGCTCCATTTTGTCATTTATGTTTCTCTCTAAACTGGTTATTTTAGTTAGCAGCTCCTCTAACTTTTTATCAAGATTCTTAGCTTCTTTGCATTCTGTTAGAACACACTCCTTTAGCTCAGTGTAGTTTGTTATCACCCACCTTCTGAAGCCTACTTCTGTCAATTCATCTGTGTCAACCACCATCCAGTTCTAAGCCCTTGCTGGAGGGGTGCTGTGATTATTTGGAGGGGAAATAAAGGCACTCTGCCTTTCAGTTTTCAGCGTTTTTTTTTGTTGTTGTTGTTGATTCTTTCTCATCTTTGTCAGTTTGTCTAGTATTGATCTTTGAGGCTGCTGACCCTTGGATGGGGTTTTTGTGAGGACTTTTTTTTGTTGATGCTGTTTTTCTTGCTTTCTGTTTTGTTTTGTTTTGTTTTGTTTTGTTTTGTTTGCAATGGTCAGGTCCCTCTTCTGTAGGGCTGCTGCAGTTTGCTGAGGGTTCACTTCAGGCGCTATTCATCTGGTTCACTCTTGTGCCTGGAGTTACCTCTCAAGGAGGCTGGAGAATGGTATCTGATTTTCCCTCTGGCATCTCTGACCTCGAGGAACACTGACCTGATGCCATTAGGAACCCTCCTGTACAGGGTGTCTGTCAACTCCTGTTGGAGGGTCTCACCCAGTTGAGTGCCACAGGGAGCAGGACCCATTTGACGAAACACTTTGACTGTCATTTGGTGGAGGAGTTGTGCTTCACCCCGGGGAAACCCACTCTTCTGGGCTGCCCAGATTGCTCAGAACTAGCAGGAGGAAAGACTAAGTCTGCTGGTCTGTGGAGACAGCGGCCACCTCTCCCACTAGGGGCTCAGGACCAAGGAGATCAGAGTTCCGTCCCTGAACCCCTGGCTGGAGTTGTTGGAGTTCCTGCAGGGAGGCCCTGCCGAGTGAGGCGGGATGGGTCAGGGTCAGGACTGGAGGCACTCTGTCCTCAGTCTGCCACAGCCAGTGTATTAGGCTGTGCGGGATACCTCTCGGGACCAAGCTGTCCAGCCTCCCCAACTCCAGCAGTGGAAAAGCGTGGCCCTGAGCTATAAAGATGGCCGCCACCTTTTCCCTGCCCTGGGAGCTTAGTGTGTTAGGCCGCTATCAGTCCGAGCGTTGGCTGTCGCCCCTCTCCCAAGGAGCCCAAATGGCTTAGACTGCAGGCAGCCACACGTGTGGTGCTGGTCGCCCCTCTTCCTGGAGCTCGGCAGGCTTTAGCAGATTCTAGCTTAGTGGCTGTTGAGAATCTGCGCAGCTCTGTGGTTGGGACCCTAGGCACTGGTGGCATGGGCTCACGGGTGGGGTTTTCCAATCCATGTGTTACAGGTGGAAAAAGCACGTTTTCCCAGGCTGAGTAGCATGCTCACTCACTGCCTTCCTTGACTGGGGTTTGGGGGGTCCCCTGCCCTGTGCCTCTCTCAGGTGGTCTGCTGCACCACACTATTCTTCCTTCCTCTCCCCATGGAGCTGGTCATGCCAGCTGCCTAGTCCATTCTGATGATAGAACATGGATACCTTGGTTGCAGGTGCAGGATTTGCAAGTTGTTACGGTTCTCTTTGATGGGAGCCTCTGATCACTGTTGCTTCTAGTCAGCCATCTTGACCCTGCTCCCAAAATATTTTATTTAACTTTATTTATTTTTTCTTTAATACTCTTCCATTCCTTATGTAGATCCAAGTTTCTGACTTACATAATTTTTTTTTCTGGGAAGAACTTCTTTTAACAATTCTAACAGGGAATGTCTGCTTGAGATTAATCCTTCCAGTTTTTGTTTCTCTGCAAAGACTTTCTTTTTCACTTTTGAAGAATAATTTTGCTGGATTTAGACTTCTAGGTTGGTGTATTTTATATTTCAATATTTTAAATATTTCACTCCACTCTTATGCTTACATGGCTCTCACAAGAAATCTACTGTAATTCTTATACTTGCTTCTCTATACCTGAAGTGCCCCTACCATTACCACCACTGCTTTTTTAAAGATGTTCTTTTCTCTTTGGTTTTCTGCAATTTGAATGTGTTGATTTTGTTTGTTTGTTTTGGTATTTGTCCTTCTTGGTGATCTCTGAGATTTCCGGATCTGTGGCTTAGTGTTTATCATTTATTTTGGAAAATTCTCAACCACTATTTAAATATACATACAGTTTTTTGCTTCAGTGCCTCTCTCTTATCTTAGTGGTATTCTAATTACACATATGTCATACTTTTTGAAATGTTCCCACAGTTCGTGGATATTCTGTTCTATTTATTCGACCCTTTTTTCTTCTTTACCTTGCACTTTGATCTATCTTCAAGCTCATTTATCCTTTCATTAGCCATGCTCAGTCTACTAATGAGTTCATCAAAGGCATTTTTCAGTTCTATTATAGGTTTTCTTTTTCCAGTATATGCTTTTGATTATTTCTTAAATTTTTCTATCTCTCTACATTTATTATCCGTCTGTTCTTGAATCATGTCTACTTTTTCCATGACATCCATTAAATATTAATGATAGTTATTTTAAATTCTCTGTACAATAATTGTAACATCTCTTTCACATATGTACCTGGTTCTGATGTTTCTTTTGTCTTTTTCAGATTGTGTTTTCTTACCTTCTTTTGATATGTCTTCAAATTTGTTGTTGAAAGCCAGACATATTTTATCAGGAACAGGCACTGAGATAAATAGGCCTTTAACATGAGGATTTATGTTAGTCTGAGTAGGACTTGGGCTGCGTTTCCGGTTTTCAGTAGCTGTAAATGCCAGAGGCTTCACATACGTCTAGTGTCCCATCTTGTTTTTGTTTCCCTTCTTGACTTTAACTAACTCTCTCTGTCTTCCTGTCTCTCTTTCTCTCTCTCTCATACTCCAAAGATTTTTCACTAAATATGTATTCCTGTGTTGGCAGGAATATAATTGTTACCAAAAATTGCCAGCTGTTGTCTTGGCTTTTTTTTTTAACCTCAGGAAAGCTTTTGTTTTCCACTTTATTACATCTTTGTCTGTTGCTTCTCCCAGCTCTGATTTCTTTTTCAAGAATCCTGTGATTTTTAGGAAGGATCTCTCCCTGTCTCTCTTTTCAATTTTATCTTTTTTAAAAAAATCCTTTTCCTCTGCTTTTGGGAGAGCTTCACAAGTTTGTCCTCTGCATTACTGATTTGATTTCAGCAATTTCCATCTTTTACTAATAACCTATAAAAGGATCTTAAAAAATGCTACTTTTTGCTTATCTGTTTTTTTCAATCTTTTGGTGCTCTATGTAATGTAAAATATAAAATTGAAATTAATGAAAATAAAATCTAATTGCAGTTTACTGCTTTTTTTTTTCCTATAGATTTTTCAAAATTCACCTTGTGGTTTCCTCATAGCAATATCTTCTTACATAGCACTGTGGTTACCAAGTTGTTTTTTTAAAAAAATCCTAGTTTTGTAATAGACAACTTTTTAGCTATGGTTCTCTCAAGTTTCTAGGATGATGTTTTGTTTTTATTTTATATATACTACATGTTTGTTATTATTATTTAATTATTATTAGTTTAGTATAAAATATGTTCAGATCTAGTAGTTGCAGATATTTTCTTGCCTTTTTTTTTAAATCCACCAACTGCTTGAGTACCAACTGGAATGCCCTCTTCAGCTCTGTAATTGTAAAATTTGACAGGTACAACCTAAGTGTCCAGCAGGCTCTTTTCTGGTGTGTTGGACTAAATTGAGAATCTCATTATATCTCCACAGCTTGGTTCTTGTACATTCCTGATAAACTAAATATGAACTAGACAAAAATTTCCACAGAAATGTATTTCTGGGCTCTCAACAGGTCCATACCTCTCAGAGTGCAAAAATCTACTTTCAATGCTCTGTTCTTGCCAAATTGTGTTATGGAAGTCAAATCTGCTAATAAAGACATACCCAAGACTGGATAATTTGGAAAAGCTGGATAATTTGTAAAGATAAGAGATTTAATGGATTCACAGTTTCACATGGCTGGGGAAGCCTCACAATCTTGGTGAAGGGGAAGGAGAAGCAAAGGCATGTCTTTAATGGCAGCAAGCAAGAGAACATGTTCAGGGGAACTTCCCTGATCTTCACCATCAGATCTCGTGAGACTTATTAACTATCACCAGACTAGCATGAAAAAAAGCTACCCCCATGATTCAATTACCTCCCGCTGGGTCTGTCCCTTGACATGTGGGGATTATTACAATTCAAGGTGATATTTGGGTGGGGACACATACCCAAACCATATCAAACCTCTAAAAGTAACATATATGAAGGATACTTAGACAGAGATATTGTAACTTTCTCAAGAGAAACATCTTTTAGTAGAGAAATGGATGCCTAATTTTTAGACTATAATTCACTTGAACTTTGATGTTATGAACTAGAATGTGTGGGAGGAAAGGTTTTTCCACCTTGTTTCAAAAATATCAGCAGCTAAATATATATAGCTCACTAATCTTGTTCATAAGCCATCTCCCATCCCTCTTGTTTTTCTGGAAATTCTTTCAAGATTCTAAGTAGATCTACCAGTTGAGCCAGCAATTTTACTACTAGATATTCACTCAAAGGAAAAGAAGTCATTGTATCAAAAAAAAAAAAAAAACACTTGCACTCATATGTTTATTACAGCACAATTCACAATTGCAAAGATATGGAATCAACCTGAGTGTCCATTGACCAGTGAATGAAAAAAGAAAATATAATTAGACCACAAATATATGTGTATATCACATATATGTATCTATATATCACACATATATATCACATATGTGTGTGTATATATATGTATATATGTGTGTGTGTATATATGTGTATATGTGTGTATGTATATATATATATACCATAGTATTCCATGGTGTAACACTCAATCATAAAAAGGAATAAAATAATGTCTTTTGTGGAAACTTGAATTGGACTGGAGGCCATTATCCTAAGTGAAGAAATTCAGGAATGGAAAACTAAATACCACATGTTCTACTTACAAGTGGGAGCTAAGCTATGTATATGAAAAGGCATACAGAATGGTATAATGGACATTGGACTCAGAGTCGAGGTGATTGGGAGGGGTGTTAGAGAGCAAAAACTCCCTATTGGGTACAATGCACACTATTCAGTGACAGGAACATTAAAAGCCCAAACTTCATCAGTATACAATTAATTCACATAACCAAAACCACTTGTACCCCTAAAGCTACTGAAATTTTTTAAAAATATTCTGTTAATGGATTGACTACCGGGCTTCATGTTGTGATTGTATTTTTTATGTTAAGTTTTAAAATATATTTTCATATTTATTTTTAATTCTTTTGATATTTAGGAGAACTTGCACCATGGAGTAGAGTATTAAGAGCCTTTAAAAGAGACATAGAATGTCATAAATTTAAATAATTTCTTAAGTCTTAAAATGTCACCAAAATAAGAAAATTGGAGGGAGGGATATTTTCTTTAAAGCAATTCAATTTCCATAATATTATTTTTTTTCTTTTGCCAATATAATGGCATGTTCAACATATATTTATTTTTCTTTTCTTCTTAAATATTTGATGTTTGATATTTCTGTATTTATTCTCCTATATCCTCCCTAGTCTCTTTTATCTTATCTGACAGGCCTTCCAGAAATATAGTCAGACTTTTCTTGTTAATTTTTAATAAGAATACTGATAATAGCCACTAAGCTCAGTAACAGCAAAAATCATAAGTGCCTCAACAATTTTAGGTAAAGTTTAGATTTTTTTCTTGTCCCTTTTCCTTACTTTGAATCTTCTCCCCTTTCCTCCTGTGTTCTCCCTCATTACTCTTTATCTGTCTATGTGCAAACTCAAGTTATTTGGTGTTTCCAACCATCTCATGTTAGAATTAAGACTATTTTCCTATTTCAGTTTAAAAGAACCTTTCCTAGCCACTGCATTCTTCACTGGAAAATGCTAGACACCTTTCAACCTCATGCTGGACAAAAAATAAGCAAAATTAGAATACTTGGAATATCCAGTAATCCCTTCTTCCCTTCACACACATGCACAATAGCATCCTACTTATAATGAGTTGAGAGAAAAGAGACCTGACATGAGTGCTGGTTTAGTCAAATGGGAATGATCTCAGTTTTTCTGCTTATTTTCTGCTCTCATGACCTTTAGGCCCTAACTGCCTTAAGGAATTCTATCAGTCACCACTTGTCCAACTGACAAGTTATATACCACCAGGACCTTATGCCACATTCAATAATATCCTATGGGGGGGCAGAGGTGAGATAAGTATAAGTAGGAAGGGTTAAATTCACGCAAGCAGAGCAATTTCTTTTTACTTGATGAGTCAATAGACAGATAAATCAAATAAACATAATCAGCATGTTTCTTTGCATCTCTTAATATCTATTTTATATTATCCTTCTCTTAGTGCCTCGGGGAGGGTTAATCCATACAGAGATCAATACAGAATTTACTTACTAGATGATCATATTGTAGAAAATATAAATAATACCAAACTTCTTGAGAATTAAAACCATGCAGACTAAGAATATCTATTTCTAACAGTGCAGCAGATAATGTGGTAAAAGAGAAGAGGCTTGTTTAATTTATTCTTAAAAGTTATTTTCAATTTTAAAATAAAATGCAATTTTACATTTAGTTCTGTAGGGAATTGACTTGCCACCTATAAATTATCTATGTTACAAGTCCTGAGAGGTGGTCTCACATTCACTCAGGTATATTTATTTGATGACAAAGATATATCTTAATTTCTTTTATACAACTTATAGAAATTTTGAATCCATAAATAGCAATCATAGAAAATTAATTATTTGAAAGAAACAGTTTAAAATAATGCTGAAACTCTTTTTTCAGTCCATTTTCTCCTGAATTTGCACATTTTATTTTACTGATTACAATCAGCGAACGGCACAACAAAATGCCATGTGTGTGTGCGTGTGTGTGTGTACGCATGTGGGTTATATCCAATTGTGATTCAGAAAAGTATCCTGTGCACAAACAGGCACACACACACACAAATACACACAGAGACACACACACTGCTAGGCTTCCATATATAGAAGACAATGTAGTCCATGTGTTCTAACAGTACAAAAAGACTTATTTCTTTTGGAATAATAACAGAAAAACTTGATTCACTACTTTAGCAGGGACTAACAATCATATTTAAACAAGGCTTCTTACAGCTTCTTTAAATTCTAGATATTTTTCCTCTTGATTGTCTTTGAGGAGACTGGTCTCTTAGTTTGTGCTACACAGAAGCAGAGCTTAAGAAAAGGATTCAGGCTGTACCTGGTTTACAGATGTGTCAGGGATGAGGTGTGAGAGGGAACTTCCTTGGTGAGGTAGCTCTCATGGTAATGCCAGTTGTCCAGAGAAGGAGGCAGCCATGAACCATTTGTAGCTAACACTAATGGCAGCTGGGGATGGATGCACCTGCCACTAAATTAATCTCGGTAGAGCACAAACAGTATCCACTACAATTGTATACACTCTCCATTGAAGTAATCAGATACTTTTTGGTGTAATTAATATTTTCCTTGCCTCATTAATTCTTAATTTTCTTAATATTATGATTACTTATTAATAGTTTATTAATAGATTACAAGAGGGTATCAGTGAAACTAGTCTAAGGGGATAGTTTTCACAGACAGTTCCTCCTATTTTATGACTGCTCGAAGCTTCTAGCATTATTCTCCATTCTTCACTGAAGCATTATATTGGTAACTCATAATTTTGCCAGATGGATACTATAAAGATAACATCTGATAACATTACCATTATGTCACCTGGAATTCATTTATCACTATGTCAAATTAATTAAAAATTAATATTTTGTGGAAAATATTTATATCAAAAAGTTTTAGGATGGAATGAATTTATTTCAGAAAATCTCCAAAGGGCCTTTTTATGAAACAGGCGATAAATTTACAAGCTTTTCTATGATTCATTCACTTAAGTTGCCTTAATTCTAAAGGTTATAAGATATTTTTCACTGGATGAGATCAAATATGATGTATTATTTCAATGGGTTTTGAATCTGGATTGATCCATGTACCTCTGATACCAGCATGGAGTAAATCAATATTTCTTAGAATAACTTTTTTACAAACTATTTGCTGTGGCACAGCTTCATGGTACCATACAGGAATAATTTAATTGTCATGGGTAGTGTATTTGTCCGTTCTCACACTGCTATGAAAACTCGAGAGTGGGTAATTTATAAAGGAAAGAGGTTTAATTGACTCACAGTTCCTCAGGGCTGGGGAGACCTCAAGAAACTTACATTCATGGTGGAAGGGGAAGCAAACATGTCATTCTTCATATGGCAGCAGCAAGGAGAAGTGCAGAGCAAAGTGGGGGGAAATCCCCTTATAAAACCATCAGATCTCACGAGAACTCACCCACTATCATGAGAACAGCATGGAGGTAACTGTCACCATGATTCAATTACCTGCCAGTGGGTCTCTCCCGCAACATGTAGGAAATATGGGAACCTCAATTCAAGATGAGATTTGAGTGGGGACACAGCCAAACCATATCAGGTAGGGTGGATTGTTTTAATGTTAAGAAAACGAACATTTAAAATAAATAAAAATATGGCGTTTTGCAAGAAATTCGTTTTAATAAGCACTAACAATTATCACATGCATATGGTAATAGTAAAAAATAATAATACCAAACATTTACATAGAACATATTATGTGCCAAGCAGTGTTCTGAGCCCTTTCAATATATGAACACTTTAATTCTTACAACAACCACATGAGGTTGTATGACTATTATCCCCGTTTCATAGCTGAGAAAACTGAGGTACCATGATTAAGTGACTTGCCTGGGGTCACACTGCAAGTAAGCCATAGAGACACAATGGAAACACACACAGGCTGGCTCTAGAAATCAGTGCTTGGCCACCACATGAACAGAGGTATTCCCATGAGTCATCTTCCTCTCCCTTCCCACAAGAAAGTTGACATATACATAGAAAGTAGATACTATTGCTCTCAGTCACACTAGTATACATTGCATATGATGAACAAAGTATTGTCCCTTAACTAAAACGTGACCATTAGCCTTAAAACTAGCTATGGGGTTATGATGATTATATTACTTACTTCTATTCTTCCCTCTCTCTATATACCCTCCCTCACTCTCTCCTCTGTTTTTCCTTCCCACTTTTATCTTTCTTCTTTTTCTGTATCAAATACATTGCAATATTTAAGAAGACAATTTACTAGTCAAGGGATTGAAAAAAGCCCTAAAATTCTGCAAATCAGAAAATAAGACATTTGATAACATGCTTTTGAAAATACTATTTTGTAAATATTAACTTAAGCATTATATACTCAATGTAAAAATGCCTTCTCTAGACTTTGAAGTACATCCTAAATTATCAGTAGTAGTCAATATGTGAGAGGAATCTGTTGGCCTTATTATTTTATGATCTAACTAAATTTTACTTTGGACTCTTCAGACAATTCTGTTAGGATGAGGAGAAATATGTATTTGTAATTTTCAGAATTAAAAAATGCTGGCAATTGTTTTCTCTAGTTACATGTACATATTTTCTATTCTGAGATTTTTGTTTCTTTTAAAAATGAAGAACGCCGTTTTTCAATACCCTCTTTTAGAAAGTAAAGAACCTTTTTCTGTTTAACTCTGTCTTTGGAAAGGGAAATTAGCAGCTGTAGAGCATTATTCATGCTCAGTCTGATTATATATCTAGAAAATGAAGTCTTACCTTAACTGTTTAATTAAAGATTGGAAGAAAATATTTAAGCAGGTGTTAATCAGGTATTTAAAAAAATATTGCATGCTCCAGCCTTTCCAGGTGCAGTTAAAGTTTTCTTTCCACCTACAAAATAAAACAAATAATAGATAGATAAAAGTCTATTTTGAGGCCTGGAAGTTCATTTCTTAAGGTTAAGTTCATTTCTTAAGAATCTTACGCTTATTACCAAACATATAGTGCTCGTTCTTTTTAAACAAACAATACATTTAAAATACCTTTACATCTTTATAATTAACCTTATTTATAATTGACATAAAGCACATTATTTTAAGCATATAATTTGACAAGTTTTAACATGTATACACCCATGAAACCATCACAGCAATAAAGATAATTAATACGGTATAACTTTTTACTTAAAATAAATAAACACAGAGAAAGTACACAAGATAAAGTTATACAACTCAATTATTTATCACAAAATGAACTATCAGCCATCATTTAGGTCAAGAAATAAAATAATGCCAATCCTGAAGATCCCCCTGTACCCTACCAATCACTACCTTCTATCTTACACAGGTAAACCCTAACCTAATTTTTTAGTAATTGTTTGTTTTTTTAAATAATTTTAGTAAATAATTTTGCATTTGTAAACTCTGTGGTTTAATTTTACCTGTTTTTAAATATACATAAAAGAAATTATATAGTATGTGATCTTCAATGTCTGACCCATTTTACTTCATATTATGTTTATGAGGATTGAATTTTATCAAATGATTTTTGTACATCCATGCAAATAATAATGTAATTGTTTTTTTCCTACATTTCATTAAATGGTTAAATTATACTGTTTTAATGTCAAGCCAATTTATGGAATTTATGGACTAAACCTAACTTGATTGACAGAGAGAGAGAGAGATTTAGATAGAGATATATTGTTATATTCCACTTGGTAATGTTTTGTTTAGAATTTTTATGTGACTGACCACAATATATTGGCTTCAGAAAATAAGAAATTAGAAAATATAGATGAATGGCAAAGTATAGAAGGCTTCCAGAACCAAAGATTTGAGCAAAAAGTTCCAGCAATAATTGACCAACCACTAAGATATGCTGACATAGAAGTGACCCCTCAACTGCCAGGCTTAAAAATAAAAACAATAATTACACACACACACAAAAAATCCCTGAAGAATCACTGGTAACAGTACAGCATGTGGGAGATAGACTCTAGAGGATTGCTCCAGGCAAGTCACTAAACAAAGCAAAACAAAAAACATAAACAATAAAACCTTCATGAAGTGGGAATAAGAATCCAGGATTGCTACAAAATATTATCTAAATTGTCCAGTTTCAAAAATCTTAATACAAGTGAAAAAACAGTAAAGTGATACTTATACACAAGAAACAAAAAAAAAGTCAATAAAAATTACTTATGGGGAATCCAGATGTTGGGCTTTGTTGTTGAAGACTTTAAAACAGCTATTATAAATATGTCCAGAGAAAATCATGTTAAAAAACTAAAGGAAGGTGTGACTACAATGACTCATCAAACAGAGTATCAATAAAAAGATAAAAATTATATAAAAGAGCCAAATGGAGCTTCCTTGTCTTGAGAAAGTGTATTAATCCATTCTCACACTGCTTAATAAAGACTTACCTGAGACTGAGTAATTTATAAAGGAAAGAGGTTTAATTGACTCACAGTTACACAGGGCTGGGAGGTCTCAGGAAACTTACGATCATGGCAGAAGGAGCAGCAAACACGTCCTTCACATGGTGGCAGGAAGGAGAAGTGCCAAGCAAAGAGGGAAAAGCCCCTTATAAAACCACCAGATCTTATGAGAACTCACTCACTGTTACCAGAACAGCATTGGGGACTGACCCCATGATTCAATTACCTCCCACTGGGCCCCTCCTACAACACGTGAGGATTATGGGAATTACAATACAAAATGAGATTTGGGTGGGGAAACAGGCAAACCACATAAAAAAGCACATCTAAAAAAAACCTAGCAGTAACAATGTACTTAATAATAAAAACAATAATTTTCCCCTAAGATCAGGAAGTAGGCAAAGATGTGCCCTCTCACTACATCTATCAAACATTATATTGGAGGATCTAGGCGGTACAATAGGGAAAAAGAAAAGAAAGACAAAGGAAAAATAAAATAAGTTAATTAAGGTAGAAATAAGAAGTTCTATAACTGATTTTATTTTCAGATGACATGACCCTATATGAAGAAAATATAAGGAATTCCTCCTAAAACCCATCAAAACTAATAAACAATTCCAGCAACATGTATCAATATATAAAAGTATATCAGCATATCTCAATAATATATAATTGCATCAATATAGAAAAATCAATTTTTATTTTTATACACTAACTATAGCCTATGAAATTAACTTTATAATGTAATATTCACAGAAGCATTAAAAGGAACAAAGTATTAAGGAATAATTTTTTTTAAAACTTGTAAAATTTATAAACTAAAATTTTGCAAATTTTTGTGCAGGAAAAATGAGATTTAAAAAATGAGAACACATTCCAAGTTCATGGACTGGAGTGCCCATGTTTTCAAGATGACAATTCTCCCCACATTGATCTGTAGATTCAATGCAACTTCTATCAACGTGTTAGTAAGACAGTTTTTGTGTGGATATCCACAAGATGATCCTAAAACTTACCTGGAAAAACAAAGGAGCAAGAATTAAATGCTTTTTCTAAACCAAGAACAAACTTGGAGGATTTACACACCCTGATATCAGAACATATTATCATAAAACTGGCATGAAAACAGAATGTAATGTAATGGGAAAAAAGAAAATGTAGAAATAAATCTTTATGATCAATTAATTTTTGACAAAATTGCTAAGGTGATACAATTGAAGAAGTATCTTTCAACAAATATTGTTGGGAAAATTAGTTATCTAGAAACAAAAAGATGGCATTAGACTCTGACCTCATGCCATACAAAAATACTAATGCAAAATGGATCATAGACCTAAACACAATAGCTTAAATGTTTAGAAGAAAACATAAAACCTTCATAACATTGTGTTAGAAAAAGAATTTCCAGATATAACACCAGAATGTTAGGAAAAAATAGATGAATAAGATTGATCATAATTAAAAGGTTTTGAGCTTTAATGATAGCTATGAACAAAGTGAAAAAAGCTCACACTATGGGTAGAAAATATTTGCAAATCACATATCCAACAAAGACAAATATCTAGAACATACAAAAAATTACTACAATTTAACAATTAAAAGACAAACCAATTTTTTTAAATGGGCAAAAAATTTGAAAAGAAATTTTTCTAAAGAAGATATGTAAATGGTTATTAGACAAATGAAAAGATCCTCAACATCATTATTCATTAAAAAAAATGCATATTAAACCCAGAATGAGGTCGCAGTTTATGCACACTAGTGGCTACAATAAAAGAGATAGACAATAATAAGTATTGGTGAGGATAAGGAGAAATTGAACCCTCATGCATTGCTGGTGAATTTAAAAACTAATGCAGCCACTTTGGAAAACAGTTTGAAATTTTCTCAAAATATTAAAGAAAAAGTTATAACGTAACCCAGTAATCCCACTTCTAAGTACATGCCCATGAAAATTTTTTAAAAAATATACATTTACACAAACACTATTATGCAAATGTTTATAGCAGCATTATTCATACACATTTGAGTTGTTTCCACTATTGGCTATTGTTCAACTGCTAATTGGCTATGAATAGTAGCCAATAGTGGAAACAACTCAAATATGTATCAACTGATAAATGGATAGTAAATGTGGTATATATATATACATACTGGAATATTATTCAGCTGTAAAAATGAATGAATACTGATACAAATTACCACATGGTTATGACCCTTGAATATATTATGCTAAGAGAAGGAAGCCAGATGCAAAAGATTGCATAGTGTATGGTTCCATGTATAGGAAATGTCCAAAAAGATGTATTTATAGGGACAGAAGGCATATTAGTGGTTGTCTGGGGCTGGAGGTGGGGTGAGAACATAAATTAACTGCAAAGAAAATGGACACAAGAAATTTTGGAAAGTGGCAAAACCCTCAAAATATTCTAAATTTTAATTGTGATAATTGAAGAGCTCTATGAATTTACTAAAAATGATTTAATTATGCTTTTAAAATAAGTAAATTTAAAATATATAAATTATACAATAATAAATCTGCTAGAAAACAATCTCAAAATAATTTTTGAAAGTCCTACATTAGAATTCAACATATTTCACCTCAACCACTTGTAAACATTTATTCCCTGCACCCCCATCTCAAACTGAAATGATTCCTAGTGTTGCAACGAGAAACTGTATGAAGTCATTGACTTGCATTTGAAAAAGAAATTTTTAAACACTGAAACACTGAGTTTGGTGAAATGTGAAGTTTCAAGATGCTGGGTAACTCTGAATTTGCTTCTCCCATATCACGCTTATTCCAAATTTAACTCTCTTGGAGGGAACGGCAGGTGAATTACCTCAAATTGGCAAACCATTACTTTTCTCCCATCTCCTCTTCCTTCCATCTTCCCTCCCTTCTTTCTTTATTGCCTTTCTTCTTAATTAACCTTATTCCTTTTTTTTTTTTTTTTTTTTTGCCAATCATGTATAGTAATATTTCTCTAAGTTAAGGGATTCTAATATGCCTCTACATTATATGTGTTTGTCTAGAAAACACATATATGTCTAGAAGATAACATATATCAACACCAAAATGTTTACTTGATAGTCATGTTTATTTCTACCTAGGTAGTATTTCTCTTGCTTTTTGTTTCTTTCTTTGAAAACTTCTGTTTTTTTTTTAAGATTTTTGGATCAAATATGTAGTTACTCCTGTAAGCCTTTTGGGGGGAAAATTAATAAATGCTATTTGTTAAGTGAATAATATACCTATAGTAACCAAATTAAACAAGTTAAAATAAATAAAATATATTTAGTTAACTAAAAATGCCTCAATTCAAAGATTCAAGGGAAATATTGCCACTGCATTGCACTCCAGCCTGGGTGACAGAGCAAGACTCTGTCTCAAAAAAAAAAATAGTGTTTATAAATTTTAAAATTTAATGTTATATTTGAGACAAAACATTAGAAAAGAAAATTTCATTTGTTTACATTTTTGATACACCAAGCTAGATTGTATAATATTGAATAATATGGAATCAGCTTTTCAAACATTTTTTATAAACTCTAACCAAACTGCATTATGCCAAGAACATTTTGCATTATTAATATCATGTGTCATTCAATGAAAGCTGATCCATATGTTTATGATTCATTTATAATTAAATCATCAAAATATTGATTTAAAAGCCATTTGATGTCTAAAAAGAAATGTTGGAGTTTTAAAAGCAAGTTTTGGCCGGGCGCAGTGGCTCACACCTGTAATCCCAGCACTGTGGGAGGCTGAGGCGGGTGGATCGTCTGAGGTCAGGAGTTTAAGACTAGCCTGGCCAACATAGTGAAAACCCTGTCTCTACTAAAAAATAAAAAGAAAAAAAGAAAAATTAGCTGGGCATGGCGGCGGGCACCTGTAATCTCAGCTACTTGGGAAGCTGAGGCAGGAAAATTGCTTGAACCTGGGAGACAGAGGTTGCAGTGAGCCGAGATCGCGCCACCGCACTCCCACCTGGGCAACAAGAGTGAAACTCTGTCTCAAAAAGTAAATGAATGAATGAATGAATGAATAAATAAATAAATAATAAAAGCAAATTTTTTAAATAAAAATTTTATAGAAGATTTAGGATTATTTTATAACTTTCAACAATAAATTTTTAGGCTTTTACCAAAATATTTACTATTACTTAAAAGGAGATAAATGTTTTTCTGGTTGAGTAACGTCTAATGATAATTATAAGAAAACATGAATAGAAATGTTACATTTCCTTTTTAAAAAAATTTTAGAGACAAGGTCTCACTTTATTACAAAATCTGTGGTGTACTGACATGCTCATAGCTGAACTCCTGGGTTCAAGCTATCCTCCCACCTCAACCTCTCATGTCTCTGGGATTACAGGTGTAAGCCACTGTACCCAGCCGTATTTCTACATTTGAACACTGGGCCCACATTTGTATAAGTTTTCATTTAAAAAATCTCTTTTCAGAATATTTTATACTTATAAAAAGAGATTCAGAACATTTTACACTTATTTAATTCATTAATAAATTTTGAAATTAAATCTTTAACTATTATTATCTAAATTCAGGTTTTGCACTGTTTCTTTGTTTGTTTTAATGCTCCTGGTGGTTTAAATTCCTCTCATCCCTCTCTCTCTTTTTTAAGTTACTGTGGAGATAACGCGACAATAATAATTCTCCCTGCCCCCAGATAACTTGATTCTGAATATGAGATAAAGTTGCTCTAACACTTTCATAAGCATGTGTCTATAAACACATTCATGTACTTTACGTGTTTGAAAACGTGATCACATGGGGAAATATTTGTCACAACACTTTCAATCAAAATATACCTATTCACATCTGGAAGAGCTAAAGCCTCTATAGCCTGATTCTATATAAATGTATAAATGAAGAGTCTGACTTCGTCAAAACTCTGCTGGTAAATCTTTGTAAAACTACAAAGATTATTTTGGAAGTGCCAACCATCTTAATTATGTTTTCTATCAGTTCATATCATGTCACAACACTAAAATACAAGACAAATAATAAGGTATTTTAGTGTTTGATAGTATTAATAATACTTAATACTATTAAACATGAATATTATTAAACATTATTTAAAATATACATTAGTGCTGTAAGTATGCCAGACATTGTGCTAAGGGCTTTAATGAGCCTCACAGCAATGAATGAACTTCAGAGCAATGATGAAATGCTCTCTTTGTCTCTCCTCCATTTTCTAAGTACTCAAAAAAGTCACTCTTCCAGATAACCTGATTTTTTCCATGAATACTTCCTTACAAGTCTTACATTTCTCTAATCATTAAATGTAAACTAAAGCTCAAAACTTATACTTATCATTTATACCTCATATGTATACATTATTTATTATAGCTATCTTACATTGCATCATATTCCCATAGATTTTATTTGAATAAAGTTTAGGGGCACCAGCTGTGGAGTTTAGCAGCCCTGGGTTCCTTCTTAACTTTAACACATTACTAGATGTGTCACCTTGCACAAGTTACAAAATGTTAAGTATCGATTTCTTTATGAAATAATAACTAATGGGGGGTTACTTTAAATATTAATGAGATAACTGGATAGCATAATTCCAGACACAGAGTAAGCTTTCAATAAATGGTGGTGTAGATTTATTAGATTGTGTGAGTTTATGTTATACTCCTTGTGCCTACCAAATTTTGAAGGCTTTAAAGGAATGATTATTAAGTTGGACGGGTAGATAGTGATGTTACTCTCTCATAGAGGCAGGTGAGTAATCCTAGAGGTTGTGTAAAATGCTCCTGATTCTTGTCCTGCCTCCTCTTATCCATCTCTGGATTAATTTTCTGAAAGACAATTTTCCAGTGTTGCATTTGATAACTATCCGATCATCTACATTTACTTGTTTTCTTAACTATTTTGAACAAATTTATAGTAAATTTTACTGCATAGGATAGTTTTAGTAACATTGAACTTCCCTGCAGTTTTATTTGATCAGTTCTCATTTTGTTTTCCTCACAGTATTTTTAGTACTTAATTTGTCTCCCCTTGACTACTTGTTGCTACAACTGGGTGGAACTGAGATGAAAAGTAGAGACCACACTTTGGATGCTAGGACTACTATCAGAGAACAAATCCTGGACTGGAGATTACAGTGGCAGAGAATTCAAGGGGGAGAAGGACCCAGTAAGATATTGCTCAAACCAGAATTTGCTTGAGAGGAAAAGGAATCACTAAAATAATTAACAAACATTATTTTATTTACCACAAGTGAAAAACCAGAACTGTCCTGGTCCAGAATGTCTGGTCACATTAACTAGGGACAGGTTGGAAGGGGGATTTATGGATGAGGGTTGGAGAAGAGGATATAGGGGAATTGAAAGAGGAAACTGAGATAATAAGATGTACAGAAGGAGGCAGAGCAGAGAGAACAAAAATCTGAAGGTCACAAGAATACATTCACAGAACTGTATTCAAAATATATACATAAGGATATACTCAAAGACCTATTCAACAGTATATTCTCTATGAATATATAAATACATTCTGCACAAAAATAATCTTCATGAAAATATTCTCCTCATGTATGTATATTTATGGATATATATTTCTGTTGGAGCAGAGAGAAATCAAGCATTCCTTAAGATATTGTATTGAAGAAAAATGGAAAAGTGAGAAAAACTTTACAGAAATATTAAAAAAGATAGTGAAACCATCCTATCAAATATAGATGGCTGTAATTTACTTTTTTAAGTTTAGTAAATAAAAGAATATTGGCCTTCGGGTGCAGTGGCTCACACCTGTAATCCCAGCACTTTGGGAGGCCGAGGCGGGCGAATCACAAGGTCAGGAGATTGAGACCATCCTGGCTAACACGGTGAAATCCCGTCTCTACTAAAAATACAAAAATTAGCTGGGCGTGGTGGCAGGCACCTGTAGTCCCAGCTACTTGGGAGGCTGAGGCAGGAGAATGGCATGAACCCAGGAGGTGGAGCTTGCAGTGAGCCGAGATTGCACCACTTCACTCCAGCCTGGGCAACAGAGCAAGAGTCCATCTCAAAAAAAAGAAAAAAAAAAGAATATTGGCCTTCAGTGAGTTAACTTCCAATGAATTTGCTTGTATTGAACAGACTTTCAGGGATTGGCCTAAGTTTTGTGTCTAGGTAAAAGTATTAAACATAATTCATATTAGAAATCAAAACTCATAAGAATTAAAAATGGGATTGATTTTAATTTTTGGTCATTTCCCATGAAATACTGGGATTGCTGTATTTCTTTCTCCATTGCCTACTCCAGTGGAAATCCTGCTGGGCAGGGAATTAACTAAAACAAAGGTTGGGGTGATATGGTAGAAATGTGGATAAAAGTGGGCAGGAAGCAAAAATTGGATTGGAATTCTCTACAAAGGCAGAGTAATCAGCTGCTTAACACAGAGCTGGAGAATTGTCTTCTGTGCACTGAATTTAAGTAGTTTAAATATCCTTAGGGATGGAAATATTTTCTTAGCATAAAACACAGGTGCATGTACTATACAGCCAAGGAAAAGCATTGGTAAACATTTGAACCTTCTTCCAATGGCCTAGTCCAGAGCCAAGCTTTCAATCTACATCAGTGACTTGGGCTTCTCATCATACTCAAATAGAGATGGGTTGTTTGCAATGTAATAAAAGGACGGCCTCAAAGTAATAAAAAGTCTCAGAGTAACATGAGGAATCTTTATGCAAAGGCAATGAGGGCTAAAATAATCTTCAAGGGAGTTGGCTATGTTTGTTCAGCAGCAAGAAGCTTTTAAATGGAAAATGTTCACTGGCTGTTTGTACTGGACAGTGATTTTTACATTCCAGTCATCTCACTTAGTCTCATTGGACCAGGTTCTTCCTTTTTAGGTGAAGAGGTAGTTGGCAGAATGTCTTTCCTGGCATAGAAGAGAGAAGAAACTTTTTGTTTTCATCTTTTCAGACTTTTCAAAGCTTTTATGCTTATGTCAGATTATGACAATAAAAGCAAGAAACAACAGATCACTAGTTTTTTGGGGGATAGGAAAAGTCCACTTCTGCTGAGAGTTCAGGATCTCTTTGGCCTTTTTGCCATGACAATGCATGTTCTTGTTTTTTACTTTCTTGTGCTGTTTCTCCCTGGACAGAACTGCATGTTCTTAAAACATGGGCAACATATTCTTCTTTTTCTCAATGAACAGTGGTCGTGACAGCAACCAGGGTGCCCTCTTCAAATAAGAAAAGCACTCATTTCCTATTTTGATTAATTTTACTTTTTGGAGAAACTGGTTCCTGAATCTTTCTCTCTCCCCATTAGAATGTGTGTTCCCAACAACTATGTGGTCATAAGAATCTTCACCAATATGCCTCCTTTCTTCTAGCATTCATAATATCTGCATAACAGCCAAATGACTGATTCTCTTCTCCCAATTCTGGCATTTTTGTCATCGTTATTGTTGACAGATATTTGGGGATTTATTTTTAGAACTACCTTGCCTTACTGTTTTCCTTGGTTTCTGGCTCATTTTGAACAGTTTCCTTTTGCAGTAGGGAGGGAGGGTGGGGATGTAGTGCTGTTTATATTGAGGCTGTAGCTTCTCTAATATTTGGATGAGGAGGTGGGAAGGAAGGGAAGGTTATGAGTGTTATGGAAATTAAATCATACAGAAGCATCTTTCCTTCCAAATTCTTTCTAAAAGCGTGCAATTCTGACTCCACCAACTATATATAAGAGTACTTAAAATACTGATGTTTAAAGAGTGATGATTTGACAATAAGAATGACAAATTTCAGTTAAACATAGTTGCCTTCCGGATGGGAGTGATCCACCTTTAATAGCAAGGAGGCTTTATGTCCATTTGGATTCACAATTGCAATGGACTCAGAAGAATCCCGTGTGTCCCATCATGTGATCATTTACTAACACAAATTGAAGCTTGTAAAATTTAATGAATAGCTATATTAAATCGTTCTCAAAGGAAAAATACCATTTTGCCAATGACATGTTTTGTCAAAAGTAAAAATCCACTTTAAGAAAATTTTTTCATCGAGTTAGTTTTTCCTGTAGTGGTATAATTTGAACAGAACAAGTTGACGTAATCGAGGTGCACAATAAAAGGGGAATAAAATAGTAGCACTAGCCTAAATTGGGCTGGATCTCTTCAACAAAGTAAGGATTGCAGGGTGCAAGCTGAAAAAACAACTACCCATTTTTTGCAGAACTTTAACTCCAGCATGAGGTGTGGTGGAGGTCCACAGGAAACCATTTTTTGGGGGGAAACAAACAATTATCCTGGACATGTGGTGAGGCAAAGAAATTGGAATTTGGCAGGCTTAATTGCATTAAATTTGCTCTGGGTGTAAAATATGTTAATTTGCCACTGTCTGGAAGAAATCATGGTGAGTCATTCACAGAACTACTTAGAATCTATTTCTGACATGTCTAAGTATCTATTGCTTTGGCCATTGCCTTTTCTCTTCACAAATCTACTTTTTAATAACATGTAAAAAAAGCAGGAAAAATTATTTTATCTTAGTCCACATGAAACAAATTTCAAGCAGAAATTCTTGAGTTGAACAAACAGCTGGTAAGATTTCATTTCTGTTCTGACATTATTTTGTATTTTCTGTTTGATCACAGTTTTTATGAAAAGGAGCAGGATCATTCTTTATTCTTGGTGATAATATAAATAATTTCTTCCCAATTTATTACTAAATCGGAACCATACTCTATTCATAAAATGAGCTCTCCCAATACTGAAAGATTTTATGTGTACTTTCTAAGCATTATTATTTCAGAATAATGTTAGGCAAATATCTATGTATTGAAGCAGAAGAGGATGTCTTGAAAGCGAAAAAAAATGAATCTAGTAGTTTAAAATAAGAATTCTATTTTATGATCTCAAAATATCTCCATAATTTGAAACATAACACCCCCAATACACAAATAACACAACTTCAGCAGATATCTCGAACCTTTTATCAAGAAGATCCCTTGCTGGGTCTTCAAAATTGCAGCATCTGAGCTAGTCTTTTACTAACCACACTTTATATAATTAATGCTAATCCTAAATTAAGCAATTTGAAAATAAAACATAAAAGTCTATTGGGTTTATAATCAGTCATTAAACAATTGACATTAAGCCATTAAATAAAGCAAATACAATGCTTTACTATTATGACAGAAGTAAAACAAAAATAACAGAATAAAACAGTATTTGGAAATATTGTTTAGCTATCTCTATCTTGGAAATAAAACACAGGTTCTCAAAATGCTGCCACCTTCCTACCTGTTTTCAGCTAGCAATGAACATGGAATTATAAAAATTTGCACACATAACGCTTGTCTCTTAAAATAGCACTAAACATATGTGAAGTCTCCAAATTAAAGCTTACCCCCAACCACCCCAACTCCAGAACATTGTAACCACAAACGCCTTGAGATATTGGCTGAATCATCCCCCTTTCCAAAACTGTCCATCTGTCTTTGAGAGTGGCTGTGATCCGGAGGCTCAAGTTGACTTACTCACTGAGCTGCCTGCCAGTTTAGATGCACTTTGTAGGTGGAAAATTGTTGGTCTTTGTCCCTCCCAGCTTGCAAGTAAAATGAAGCTGCCAAGAGATAAACACATTCTAAGTTTATCGTGCTATTCTTGGCCTCAAACTACAAGCCATAAGGCAACTATTGCTCAAGGTACCGTGTTTACAAGTGTTCAGTCCTCCGCTGTTTCAGAGACCCAACAAGATGGAATATCTTCCTGCCAGCCTATATTTTGTTTTTTTCTAAGCTTTCACATTTTTAAATTTCTTTTTTAAAAGGGGGAAATGGAGCAGCTTCCTTTAAAGCATTTTGAAGGTTTGAAGTCTTGTTAAAATTTTGATTATGATGTGTTTAGGTTTTTCCCACAGAAGCACAATAAGTTCCTAGTAAGACTGGACACTTCTTTCCATTATTATCAGTATTACTATATTTATTATTATTTTATTTAAAAGTCAACAATATGTGTACCAATTATTTCTATATAGGTCTTCTCAATTGTTGCCATTTACTATTTTCTTTATTCACTATTTTGACCTTTAACGCATTTATTATAATAAAACCCCTTTTTGCTTTTAATTGCTATTTTTTTTTCCTGCCTAGGTAGATATATTTAAAATAATGTGATCAGAGTTTGGTAATATTCTCAAAACCCCAAAAAAACATTTTTTTTTTTGAAAGAAGGAGTACTGAGTTACTGAGTTAACTTTTCTCACAAATGTCTTCCTGGCTGCATTGGATAACAGGATGTATTGAGTTCATACATCTTAAATATAAAAGAGGAGTATAGCTATATCACATCCTATATTGGCACAGTATATTGACATGTATTATGTATGATGTTACACTGTTTAAATTATTAGAAATCACATTAAAAGAAATTATAATAAGATAGGGCTTTTTACCAAATCTAGGATATTTGGCAAAGATATGATAATCAAGTTCAATCCTTGATTTACAAATAAGACTTTGAGCTCTCAGAGTTTTAGAACTATATTTTATACCGTGATTTCTTTGCATTTCATTAAAAGTATCATTTTCTTCAGAGTTCAGCATAGTACATAGATAATTTACCTATAGAAAAAGAGCTTAATTGGTTTTTTGGAGATGGGAGATAGTAATCCACAACCTGGAATTTTTTTAACATACTCTCACTAATCCGTTTTCATTCAATGATTTAATGCACTACAAATTAAATTCACTGACTACATGACCAGTGAAAATAATGTAATAAAAATTTACTTGTTCTAGTTTAAGTCTGAGGGTAGGGAAGGAAGATTTGCAACAATCTACCCTGGGAGATTGCAATAAAAATGTATTGTTAATTTGAAGCATTACTTAGGATCATTCAAAAAATCAAAATCAGTATGTCCACGTTAAAATGAGCAGAGAAAGCTTTAAAGATTGCCATAATTAAGAGTTAAAATGGGCTGCATAACCACCTGATGGCCTTCTGAAGATGTACAAATAATGAAGGAAAATGGATGAATATTCTATTTGAAAATTATCTGTATGTTAGTTTTAGAATTTACCTGCAGCACTCTACATCTTGAAATATTTAGGTTGCTATAACAAAGCAACAAAAACTGGGTGGCTTATTAGCAACAAATATTTACTTCTCACAATCCTGGAGGTTGGGAAGTTCAAGATCAAGACACCAGTAGACTTGGTGTCTGGTGAGAACCTACCTTCTTGCTGCCTCTTCACATGGTGGAAGGGATGAGATAGCATGCTGGGGGCTCTCTAATAAGGGCAATAACTCCAATCATGAGGGCCCTGTCTTCATGACCTAATCACCTCCCAAAGGCTCCACTTTCTATTACCATCATCTTGGAGTTAGGTTCCAACACATGAAATTTGGGTGACATAAACACTCGGTTTATTACATTCCTGTAGCAGAAAAAATGAGTAATAATCTCATCAGCGCATGTAAAAATGGTAACTACCTTTGCTCTATATGACTCAAAGTAGGTGGCAAGACTCATGTACATTCCAAAGACTATCTGGTCAGAGGCATTTGATGTCTTTGCTTTACAGATATCTTACTCTTGGTTTATTACTCTAATAAACAGTGTTTTACAGTGTTCTTATCCAGCACAGAACAGCTAATTTGATTATAAAATATGCTATGATACTTTGAAACTCATATTTAATTGTTAGAACGTGCATGAGTTCTACTTTGAAAGTCTAAGAAATTGCCTAGATTTTGAGGGGGTGAGGGACTGATTGGTCATTAGTACCTAGCATTGCTAGAATCCAGTATTCTTTGAGTTGATGAATATGACCCTTCCACAACTGGTGGAGGGGACTCTACCAGAGCATTGTTATGTTGGCATTGTAAAAGGAACAAGATAGGTTCTTAGATAAATATCTAATATGTTAGCAGTCATACTGAAAAGAAATATCTGAGTAGTAGTTTATAATCTTTTGCTATGTACACATTTATAAATTATTTATTTGTATTTAAGTCTGATTATTGGTTCAAGCCAAATGTAAGTGCACCCAAGAGTCAGAGTCATGAAGTAGGTGGGTTTCAGCATTCAAGGTCACTAGTAAGAAATTAGAATTTTACGTACTAGGAACTCTCAAATAATGAACAAATTTTTTAATGCTTTTTATTTGGAAAGATTAAGAATATTTTCAAAAGTAGAAAGTTTTCCCATTTCTGAAATACCTTTGCAATACCTGTCATCCCAGGATATTCCTTTAACTTTTCAATTTAATACTCTAAGGATTCTTTGTTTTTAAGACAATTTCTTTCCATTTTGTTGGGTGAGTGTCCTTGAGGTGATATGTATGAGGTCATGCTGTGTGTTTCAGGTAGTCCATATAATGCTGTCATAACAACACTAACCAAAGCTTAAAATCTCAGTGGATTACATAAAAGTTTATTTCTAATTTATACATGTTCAACAAGGTGAACCAAGAGTCTTCAGGTTCACTGGGGGCTCTGTTAATCATAATTGCTCCAAGATCTGACTAACGGAGTATTTAGCTCAATACACATGTTGATAACTAAGAATGCAGAAAAAAATATACAAGGTGAATTATTTTATGGCTTCTAAAGCTTTTATCTGGAGGAAAATTCATCACTTCCCACATTTCTTTAGCCTAAAGCAAGCCACATGATATTAACTAACCCACATTACACATGATATTGTCTAACCCAAAGTTTGGTAGATGAATACTTTTACCTTGTGCCTTGAAAGAAGAGAAATGGAAAATTATTGAACAGACCTCATGACTTGACTAATACAAGATAAAATGCTTACAACTATTAAAGGAAGTCATTTTTCCTAAAGCCACCAGAAGCAGAAGGCATTTCATAAAGAGCTTGTTTTCCTTCGTAGCATTAGTATAATACATTGGGGTGCCATTAGGACATTTGGGTGGCATTAGGCTTTGCTTCTATCTAAGTCTTACTTTATTGTGCCTGTCATAATTATGCCATGACAATCACTTACTTTTGGGGATATTTCAATGTTTCCACCCTTTTGCTCAGAAAGTTCACATGGAAGCATCTGTTTCTATTTGTGAACTGTAGTAGTGAATGAGCAGCAGCTGAATAAAAATAAACCTGGCTACAGACAAACTGTGTCCTCTATACAAGCACAAGTGAAATGGATAAAACAAGATTCAGCATATAATAACATGATATCATATAAAATTATCCAAATATATGCAGCAAACTCTTGGTATAAAGCATATTATTTTAGTGTTTTGAGATCACATTGAAATGGGTAATACGTACATTCATGTGATTTATGTAGCATTGTGGAGAATTTGACTCCTTAATTATAAGCATAATGCTGGAAACACTGTTAAGTCTTATCAATAATTTAACCAAAAGGAATCAATACATTTTACAGATAAATATACAATTTCAATCAACTAAAACATCTCATTAAATACTTAAAGTAAATCTTATTGCATCCTACATATTTTGGTGTCTCAGTTATGGTCTACCACTTCTCTGGCAAGAGTGCCATGATGATTATTCCAAATCTTACATTTTACATTTTTTACACAATCGATATACAAGTCAGATACCCAAGAAATGACCTAGAAAGTCTCCTTGAGGGCAATGAAGACTTACATGAGCTGTTACTGTTGCCTATTTTTGCATACTATATTCTAATAATTTTTTTCCCTCAACTGTCACTCCTGGTGTAAAAGAAGAGCTGGTTCTTTGTAAAATTCATGAGAACATGCTCAAATAAAATAAATAGTAAAGGACCAGAGGCTCTAAGTAAGCAGAGGAGGAAAGACATTAGATAATTTCTAGAGACAGAATCTAAGAAACTATGAAAGTAAGAATATGTGGAAATGAGAAAGAGAAAGAGATAACCAACACGAGCCAGGCTCTAGAGATATTTTGGTCTTTAATGGCTTCCTGATTCTGCTTACTTTTTCTTGAAGTGGTCTGAATAGTAGGCTTCCTTTCCTCACAATCAAAAGAATTCTCTAAAATAGTGGAGGTGTCTTAATTCTAGCTAGCAAAACCGAATAATGTGCCTTAAGAAAAACACTTAAATTGCAATTATTCTGACCACTTTTGGTATTTCACGTGCAATTAAGTCCAGAGATATTCTATCAATAAGTGTCTAAGTAGTTGTTTAAATGCTAATACTAAATATAGCCTTTAACCTTTATCTGAGAAAACTGTCTAGCTATTTCAGAAAATACATAGAACTTAATCTTTCTATATCACTGGCACAAACATGGATCATATTTTTATTAACCATTGATCTCTGATCTACTGAGAGGTTAAAAGATCCCAGAAAAGGCTCCAGAGTGAGAATTATAATTTGTGTGGTCACACAAAAGCCTAAAGTTTTAAGTGTTAACTATGGATTGCTTCTCCTGTAGTAAATACTATCTGACGGTGAGGCAGCTGGTGACATTTTTTTTATTAGCGACTATCATATGCAATATGCATACCTTTGTGACTAAAGGGAACACTTTTTAAAAAAACCTTATAGCATATGGGTGCAATTTGTTGACTGTTTCTATGTTTGGGGAGTTAAGACAATATATAATTATGCTTGAGAGGTCAGCTCCTTGTGATACCAATTAAGAATGGTGGTGTTGCTGTTGCATCCCATTTGTTCTCTTTTTTAATAGACCTAGATAGTTTGATGCTTTTACTCTTCTGCTTAAGAAAATAAAATTACATTTATCTTCTAAACATTTCCTTAAATTGAGGCAGCACATCACTTTGATTAAATTTCATGAATAGGGCATCATGATAAGCAAAATTGTTCAGACAGTTGAGTCAGGTTAAGATGAATAATATTATGTCATTAATTTATATTATCAACCTTTTAATTTCATGAAGTAAGTTGACAAATGATGCCAAGACTCAGGCTTCTTCTATTGAACATATAGTGACCAGAAAGTTTAACATTGACAGGTTTCAACATTTGATCCAAGTAGCATAACAAATATAGGCAAGTGGGTAGAGCACTGGAGCAGGAGTTCGAGGAACCATTCAAGTCTTTGTTCTGCCTCATTATAGATCATTGCTGGATCATCTACTGATGTCTCTTCTGCATCTTAAGTTCTTTAAGTAAAGGGACTCAAAACATTCGAATGTTTTAACTCATAGGGGTGTTATGAAACTCGAATCAAATAATACACAAGAAATATATTGTAAGTTATAACACATTGAGTAAACATAATTACCAATCAGAAGCATCTCATTTAAATTATCCATTTGAAAGTATATATTAACAAATGGTAAGATAAAGCAGATACTGAATCTATAATCAGAAGACATGAATGTTAGCAGTCTTTACATAAGCTCATGAGACCGGAAGTAGAAATTTAACCTAGTGGGATATTAATAGACTCCTAATTTACTAGGGAAAGGTTTTGACTTCCTCTCTATTCATGGGGTCATAGCAAGGATGGAATAATAGGGTCTATCCAAGATTTTTCCCCTTAGATAAATTTATTTTATAAATATCTCTAAATATACTTAATTATCTCATTAAAAGTAATATATCTGTTGGTTATGATGAAGTGATGGAATAAAATTAACCTCCCTCCTAATCTAAAAAGATTAAGTGGTTCTCTTTTTTTAAATAGACCTACATAGTCTACTGCTGCTTTTATACTTATACTTAAGCAAAAGAAATTCACACTCATCTTCAAAACAGTTCCTTAAATTGAGGCAGCACACCACTTTGATTACATTTCATGAATGGAGCATCATAGCAGGTGTAATGAGATGATTCATATTAGGAAAGTTGAGTCAAGTCAACAAAAAAAATAGAGAAAATATATGAAACAATGGCCACTGGACATCATTCAGTAAAGGACAGTGAACTCTTAGAGAAGAGAAATCAATGACCTGAGCTATATGACTGCCATAGTTTATAGCCTAGAGAGCGTTTTCATGCCCCATGCAAGGAGCTGGGACCCAAACAGAGTCCATAGCTTCCCTGATATGAGGAGGCAGGGGAAGCCACAATAACAAGAATTTGCAGAAAAGAGTGCCAGAAAGGAAAGCTGTATTAAAAAGAAGGAACTGCAAAGACAGAAAGAACTTTGGCAATCTGTGCGGGGTCCTCTTTAAGTCTTCATTTGAGTATATATAATTACATGTATATGAGAAACCTACTCAAAGCCAGGGAATCTCAGAAAATGAAGAGTCAGAACAACATCTGGTGATCACAAAAAGATAACAACAGTTTGTATTTCTACAATCCATAGTGGGGAATATTAGGTAGAATGCTCAGAATGGGATGGGTATTTCCTTGCCTTAGTGGAGCAAAGTTAGCCATAGATTAAGAATGTTCCTGCCAGGGGCAGTAGCTCACTCCTGTAATCCTAGTACTTTGGGAGCCTTGAGCTCAGGAGTTTCAGAGCAGCCTGGGCAACAAGGCAAAAACTCGTCTCTACAAAACATACAAAAGTTAGCCAGGCATGATGGCATACACTCATGGTCTTAGCTACTCAGGAGGCTGAGGTGGGAGGATCACCTGAGCCTGGGAAGGTCGAGGCTGCTGTAAGCCAAGATTGCATCATTGCACTACAGCCTGAGAGACAGAGTGAGATTCTGTCTCAAAAAAAAAAAAAAAACAAAAAAAAAAAAACCAGAAAGAAGGAATGTTTCTGGAACTACCTAACAAAACTTTAATGCAAACTTTGAAAGGATCAAATGATTTTAAAGTCACTTGCATCCTAAGCCAAAGTTCAAGAACATTTGAAGAAATTTTATATGTATATTATATACATAGAATTATATTAATTATTATTTTTTTAAAAATGTATATATATGCATATGTACATGAGAAATTTACTCAAGGCCAGGCAAAGAATCTCAGAAAATGAATAGTTACAATAAGATCTGTTATCACACCAATAATATCTGTTATCACAAAAAGATAAGAATATACATAAATATTATAAAAGAAATATATGTATATATATGATTTATACATATATTTCTTTTATAATGTTTATATATTCCTTTTATAATATATTTAATTCCTTTTCTAATATATAATATATAATATGTGTATGTACATCTATATACATATCAGCACCTCAAAAGTAAAACAAAAATAATATCTGGCATCAAATAGAAAATTACATTATATGCAAAGAATATAAACCTTGATGAAAATAAAAGCCAGTCAATGGAAATGAAACAGATGACAGAATTAGTAGAAAAGAATATTAAACAGTTATTAAGTTGGTGCAAAAGTAATTGTGGTTTTTGTAATTTTTTTAATGACAAAACCATGATTATTTTTGCACCAACCTAATATCAGTACTTTATCCATATATTTTAAAAGATAGAGAAAGATATGAGCATATTAAGTAGGTATCCTCATTTGTGAATTCTATCAAAGATTTAATGTAGAAATAATATCAAGTTTCTTCCAGAAAATTGAAAAGGAGAGAACACTTCCAAGCTCATTCTATAAGTAAGCCATGAAGCTAGCATTATCTGCAAATAGGAAGACATTATAAGAACATAAAGCAATATGTCAACTTCACTTGTGAACATAGATGCAAAAATTCTTAACAATGCTTTAGCAAATCAAATTCAACAATATATGAAAAGGATAAGACATCATGAAAAAGTGAGGTTTGTCACAAGAATGCAAGATTAGTTCAAGATTCAAAACTCAATCAATGTAATCTACAATTAGTGACTGAAAAAGAAGAAAAGCATAAGTTTATCTCAAGAGATACAGTGAAGGCATTTATCAAAAATCCAGAATCAATTCCCCACAACATTTAAAACTCACATTTAATATCATATGTAATGGTGAAAAATTGAATGTTCCCCCTAGGATTGGGAGCAAAATGAGGATTTCCACTCTCATTACTTCCATTCAAATGTACTATGGTTCTAACCAGTATATGAAGAAAAGAAAAAAATCATACACATTGGAAAAGAAAAACTAAAACTGTCTTTATTTGCAGATGATATAATATTTAGAGAAAATACACAAAATATTAGGATCTTAAATGTTTATTAAGATTTCTCAGTACAGAGTCAGTACACAAATATCAACTGTATTTCTATAAGTTGTCAATTAACAATGTTTTAAAATTATCATATAAAATAGTGGAATACTTAGGGATATATTTGACAAAATATTAGCAATATCTGTGCACTGAGGACACAAATCAATATTGCTGAGAGAAATTAAATAAGAGCTAAATAAATGAAGAGCTCTACCATGTTCTTGAACTAGAAGACTTGATATTATCAAGACATAAATTTTTCCAAAATTGATCTACAAATTTAATGCAATTCTAATAAAGTTCCATCCTAGAATTCCTGTTTGAAGATACTGGAAAACCAATCATAAATTTATGATATACCTAGATCATAAAAGACCTAGAATAGTCAAAATGACTTTGGGTTTTTCAACTTTGAAAAATATTAGAGTATTTACTCTACCTGATTTAGATATCTCAAATAAATCTCCAGCAATAAAGACAACGTGGTATAGGCAAAATTGTTAATGGAAGACAATAGAGAATCCAAAAACAGACCTACAAATGTATAGTCAATTTTTTTTTATAAAGACACCAATATAATTAAATGAGGAAATAATAATCTTTTTAATAAATGGTGTTGGAAGAATTGGATAGCTATATTCTAGGAAGGAAGGAAGGAAAGAAAGGAAAGTGAAGGAAAGGGAAGGAAGGAAAGGAAAGGAAAGGAAAGGAAAGGAACAAAGGGGAGGGAGGGATGTGGTTACAGTAGCTTATGCCTGTAATCCCAGTGCTTTGGGAGCCCAAGGCAGGAGGATTGCTTGAGGCCAGGAATTCAGCTATAGTGACCAATGATCACACCATCGCATTCCAGCCTGGACAACACAGTGAGCTCTAAAATTTAAAAAAAAATAAATAAAAAAAAAAGAAGGGAGGAACCCTCAACACTTCATATTGTGTACAAAAACTTAAATGAAAATAGATCATAGACCTAAATGAAAAAGCTAAACTATAAAAGTGCTAGAAGAAAACAAGAGGAAAATTTTTTTTTTAAATTTGGGTTAAGGGGTGGGACCAAGATGGCCAACTAAAACCAGCAGCAATTGGAGGCTCCCATTGAAAAGGATCATAATACATGTGAATCCTGCACCAGCAACCAAGGTATCCAGGTTCTCTCATCAGAACTGACTAGGCAGCTGGCATGATCCATGGAGAGGAAGGAAGATCAGTGTGATCCGCCAGACCATCTGGGAGCCACATGGGGTAGGTAAGCTCCAACAACCCAGCCAAAAGAGGTGGCGAGTGAGCAAGCTACACAACTGGGGAAACCATACTTTTCTACAGAACTGTGCAACCCACAGATAAGAAGATCCAACTCAGGAACCCACACCACCAGGGCCTAGGGTCCCAACCCCAGAGCTGCACAGATTCTCAACAGCCTTGCAACTAGAATCTGCTTAAGCCAACCAAGTTACTGGAGGGAGGGGCGACCAGCACTGCAGCTAAGGCTGCCTGCAGTCTAAGCCCTCTGAGCTCCTTGTGGGAGGGGCAGCAGCCAGCACTGGGACTCATAACTGCCTAACACTCTAAGTTCCCTGGACAGAGGAAGAGCAGCATCCATCTCTATAGCTCCAGGCTGCACTTTTCTCCTTCTGAAGCCTGCTGGACAGCTTGGTTCCAAGAAGTGTCCCCCACAGCCCAAAATACCAGCTGTGGCAGACCATGACCAGAGCACCCCTTCAGGTCTGATCTTGACCCATCCTTCCTCACTGGGCAGGGCCTCCCTGTAGGAACTCCAGCAACACCATCCAGAGGCTCAGGGACAGAACCTTGATCTCTCTGGTCCTGAGTTCCTAGGGGGAGGGGTGGCCATAGTCTCTGCAGACCAGCAGACTTAGCCTTTCCTCCTTGTAGTTCTCAGGAATCTGGGCAGCCCAGATGAATGGGTTTCCCCCCAGCAAAGCATACCCCCTCCACCAAGGGACAAAGTGCTTTGTTAAATGGGTCCTGTTCTCCATGCCACAACTGGGTGAGATCCTCCAAAAGGCATTGTCAGACACCCTATATAGGAGTGATCCTACTGGCATCAAGTTGGTGACTCTCAAGGTCAGAGATCCCAGAAACAGGTGCGGGCACCCATCTTTGCTGTTTTCCAGCCTCCTTGAGTGATAACTCCATGTGTGAGAGTGAACCAGATGAATAGGGCCTGAAGTGAACCCCCAGCAAATCACAAAAGCCCTGCAGAAGAGGGACCTGACCATTGCAAGAAAAGCAAACAAACAGAAAACAATAACAACAGCATCAACAATAAAAACAGTCCCCTTAAAAACCCCATTCAAGGGTTAGCAGCCTCAAAGATTGATACTAGACATACTCATGAAGATGAGAAAGAATCAATGAAAAAACACTGAAGACCCAAAAGGCCTGAGTGCCTCTTATCCTCCAAATCATCACAACACCTCTCCAGCAAGGGCACAGACTGGATGGAGGATGAGATGGACGATTTGGCAGAAGTAGACTTCAGAAGATGGTTAATAAAAAACTGTGCTGAGCTAAAGGAGCATGTTATAACCCAATGCCAAGAAGCTAAGAACCTTGATAAAAGGTTAGAGGAACTGCCAACTAAATAACCAGTTTAGAGAGGAACATAAATGACCCGATGGAGCCAAAAAACACAGCATGAGAACTGTGTGAAACATACACAAGTATCAATAGCTGAATCAACCAAATGGAAGAAAGGGTATCATAGTTTGAAGAAGACCTTGCTAAATAAGGCAGGCAGACAAGATTAGAGAAAAAAGAATAGAAAGGAATGAACAATGCCTCCAAGAAGTATGGGACTGTGTAAAAAGACCAAACCTACGATTAATTGAAGTACCTGAAAGAGATGGGAACAATGGAAACAAGCTGGAAAACACGTTTTAGGATATTGTGCAGGAGAACTTCCCCAACCTAGCAAGACAGGCCAACATGCAAATTCAGGAAATACAGAGAACACCACTAAGATACTCCATGAGAAGATCAACCCTAGGACACATAATCATCAGATTCTCCAAGGTGAAAATGAAGGAAAAAATGTTAAGCGCAGCCAGAGAGAAAAGCCAGGTCACCTACAAAGGAAAGGCCATCAGACCAATAGCAGACTTCTCTGCAGAAACCCTGCAAGCCAGAAGAGATTGGGGGTCAATATTCAACATTCTTAAAGAAAAGAATTTTCAACCCAGAATTTCATATCCAGCCAAACTAAGATTCATAAGCAAAGGAGAAATAAAATCCTTTCCAGATAGCCAAATGTGAGGGATTTCATCAACACCAGGCCTATTTTGCAAGAGCCCCTGAAAAAAACACTAAATATGGAGATATAAAACAAGAAACCAGCCACTGCAAAAACAAAATGAAATATAAAGAGCAATGACACTATGAAGAAACTACATCAACTAGTGTGCAAAATAACCAGATAGCATTGTGATGATAAAATTCACACATAACAATTTAACCTTAAATGTAAATGGGGTAAATGCCCCAATTAAAAGACACAGACTGGCAAATTGGATAAAGAGTCAAAATCCATTGGTGTGCTGTAATCATCAGACACATCTCACATGCAAAGACACATATAGGCTCAAAATAAAGGGATGGAGTAAAATTTACCAAGCAAATGGAAAGTAAAAAAAAGCAAGGGTTGCAATCCTAGTCTCTGACAAAACAGACTTTAAACCAACAAAGAACAAAAAAAGACAAAGAAGGACATTACATAATGGTAAAGGGATTACTATAACAAGAAGAGCTAACTATCCTAAATATATATGCTTCCAGTACAGGAGCACCCAGATTCATAAAACAAGTTCTTAGAGACCTACAAAGAGTCTTAGACTCCCACACAATAATAGTGGGAGACTTTAACACCCCAATGTCATTATTACACAGATCAACAAGACAGCAAATTAACAAGGATATTCAGGATTTGAACTCAGCTCTGGATCAAGTGGACCTAATAGACTTCTACAAAACTCTCCACCCTAAATCAACGGAATATACATTCTTCTCAGTGCCACATGGAACCACATAATTTGAAGTAAAACCCTCCTCAGCAAATGCAAAAGAATTGAAATCATAACAATCTCTCAAACCAAAGTGCAATCAAATTAGAACTTGGGATTAAGGAACTCACTCAAAACCACACAATTACATGGAAATTGAACAACCTGCTCCTGAATGACTCCTAGGTAAGTAATGAAATTAAGGCAGAAATCAAGAAGCTCTTTGAAACCAATGAAAACAAAGACACAATGTACCAGAATCTCTGGGACACAGCTAAAGCAGTGTTAAGAGGGAAATTTATAACAGTAATTGCCCACATCAGAAAGCTAGAAAGATCTCAGATTGACACCCTAACATCACATAAAAGAGCTAAGAAGCAAGAGCAAACTAATCCAAAAGCTAGCAGAAGACAAGAAATAACTAAGATCAGAGCAGAACTGAAGGAGATAGACACACACACACACACACACACACACACACACACACACACAATCCAAAAAATCAATGAATCCAGGAGATGGTTTTTTGAAAAAATTACCAGAAGAGATAGAACTCTAGCTAGACTAATAAAGAAGAAAAGAGAGAAGAATAAAATAGACACAATAAAAAATGGTGAAGGGAATATCATCACTGACCCCACAGCAATACAAACTACCATTAGAGAATACTATAACCACCTCTGTGAAAATAAACTAGAAAACCTAGAAAAAATTGATACATTCCTGGACACGTACACTCTCCCAAGATTAAACCAGGAAGAAGGAGAATCCCTGAATAGACCAATAACAAGTTCTGAAATCGAGGCAGTAATTAATAGCCTACCAAACAAAAAAAGCCCAGGGCCAGGCAGATTTATAGCCAAATTCTACCAGAGGTACAAAGAGGGGCTGATACCATTTCTTCTGAAACTATTCCAAAAAATTAAAAAGGAGGGACTCCTCCCTAACCCATTTTATGAAGTCAGCATCATCCTGATACCAAAACCTGGCAGAGACACAACAAAAAAAGAAAACTTCAGGCCAATATCTCTGATTAACATCAATGCAAAAATCCTCAATAAAATACTGACAAACCGAATTCAGCAGCATAACATAAAACTTACCCATCATGATCAAGTCGGCTTCATCCCTGGGATGTAGTGCTGGTTCAACATATGCAAATCAATAAACTTAATCCATCACATAAATAGAAAAAATGTCAAAAACCACATGATTATCTCAATAGATGCAGAAAAGGCCTTCAATAAAATTCAGCATCCCTTCATGCTAAAAACTTTCAATAAACTAGGTATTGTTGGAATGTAACTCAAAATAATAAGAGCTATTTATGACAAGCCCATGGCCAATATCATATAGAATGAGAAAAAATGGGAGCATTTCCTCTGAAACCAGTACAAGACAAGTATGTCCTCTCTTACCACTCCTATTCAACATAGTATTGGAAGGTCTGGCCAGAGCAATCAGGCAAGAGAAAAAAATAAAGTGTATTCCAATAGGAAGAGAGGAAGTCAAATTGTCTCTGTTTGCAGATACCATGATTCTATATTTAGAAAACCCCATCATCTCAGCCCCATTCTCCTTAAGCTAATAAGCAACTTCAGCAAAGTCTCAGCATACAAAATCATTGTGCAAAAATCACAAGCATTCCTATACACCAACAATAGTCAAGCAGAGAGCCAAATCATGAATGAACTGTCCTCCACAACTGCTACAAAGAGAATAAAACACCTAGGAATATAGCTAACAAAGGATGTGGAGGACCTCTTCATGGAGAACTACAAACCACTGCTCAAGGAAATAAGAAAGGACACAAACAAATGGAACAACCTTCCATACTCATGGATAGGAAGAATCAATATCATGAAAATGGACATACTACCCAAAGTAACTTATAGATTCAATGCTATTCCCATCAAACTACCATTGGCATTTTTCACAGAATTAGAAAAAAACTACTTTAAATTTCATATGGTATCAAAGAAGTCCCCATATAGCCAAGACAATCCTAAGCAAAAAGAACAAAGCTGGAAGCATCATGCTACCTGACTTCAAACTATACTACAAAGCTACAGTAACCGAAACAGCATGGTACTGGTACCAAAACAGACATATAGATCAATGAAACAGAATAGATACCTCAGAAATAACACCACACATCTACGAACATCTGATCTTCCACAAACCTGAGAAAAACAAGCAATGGGGAAAGGATCTCTTATTGAATAAATGATGCTGGGAAAACTGGGTAGTCATATGCAGAAAACTGAAACTGGACCCCTTCCTTACACCTTGTACAAAAATAAACTCAAGATGGATTAAAAACTTAAATGTAAAACCCAAAACCATGAAGACCCTAGAAGAAAATCTAGGCAATAACATTCAGGACATAGGCATGGGCAAGGACTTCATGACAAAAATGCCAAAAGCAATTGCAACAAAAGCCAAAATTGACTAATGGGATCTAATTAAACTAAAGAGCTTCTGCACAGCAAAAGAAACTATCATCAGAGTGAACAGGCAACCTACAGAATAGGAAAACAGTTTTGCAATCTACCCATCTGACAAAGGCCTAATATCCAGCATGTACAATGAACTTAAACATGTTTACAAGAAAAACAAACAAACAACCCCATCAAAAAGTGGGAAAAGGATATGAACAGACACTTCTCAAAAGAAGACATTTATGTAGCCAACAAACATATGAAAAAAATGCTCAACATCATTAATCATTAGAGAAATGCACATCAAAACCATAGCAAGATACTATCTCACATCAGTCAGAATATTGATTATTAAAAAGGCAAGAAACAATAGATGCTGGCAAGACTGCAAAGAACAAGAACACTTTTACACTGATAATGGCAATGTAAATTAGTTCAACCTTTGTGGAAGACAGTATGGCAATTCCTCAAGGATCTAGAACCTCATATAAAATTTGTTCCAGCTATCCCATTCCTGGGTATATACCCAATGGAATATGAATTATTCTACTATAAGACACATGCATATATATGTTTATTGTGCACTATTTACAATAACAAAGTCATGGAACCCACACAAATACCCATCAATGATAGACTGGATAAAGAAAAAGTGGTGCATATACACTATGGAATACTATGCAGTCATAAAAATGAATGAGATCATGTCCTTTGCAGTGACATGGATGAAGCTGGAAGTCATCATTCTCAGGAAAATAACACAAGAACAGAAAACCAAACACCATATGTTCTCACTCATAACTGGGAGTTGAACAGTGAGAACGCATGGACACAGGGAGGGCAACAACACACACTAGGGTCTGTTGGGAGGTGGTGGGCGAGGGGAGGGACCTTAAAGAATGTGTCAATAGGTGCAGCAAACCACCATGGCACTCGTTTACCTATGTAACAAGACTGCAGGTTCTGCACATGTATCCCAGAACTTAAAGTAAAAACAAACAAACAAAACCAAAAATCCCCTTTTGGTTAAAAAATATTTCTAACATATGACAAAAACACAACCCATAAATGTAAAAAATATAAATTTATATATATTTCGTTTCAGATTTTCAAAAGACACTATTAAGAAAATGAAAAGATAAGGTATAGACTTAAGCGAAAGATACCCCAAACCCATATTTCATAGAGGACTTGTTTTCAGAATACATAATGAACCCACAAAACTCAATCATATGTAAACAAACAATCTAATATTTTAAATGAGCAAAGGTTTGGACAATTTGCCAAAAAAGATATATGGATACTAAATAAGTACATGAAATCATACTCAATATTATTAGTCATTAGAAAATGCAAATTAAACTGTAATTAGATATCCCAACACACAACTCAGATGGTTAAAATTAGGTTGACTTAACACATCATCCACTCATGGTGAGGACATGGAATGACTAGAATGCGATACACTGATTTGAAATGAAATATAACCACTTTGAAAAACATTTTTAATGTATATGTGTGTTAAATGTTAAATGTGTGCCTATCATATGATACAGCCGTTCCATTTCTAGGTATTTACCCAAGAGAAATGATAGCACATGTCCACATAATTACTTGCACAGAAATATTCACAGCAGATTTATTTGTAATAGGCAAAAAAAGAAAACCAACCAAATGATGATCAAAAATTGACTAGAAAAATAAACTATATAAGCTACTACTCAGTAATAACAAGGATCATGACAAAATGGATAAATCTCAAAACAGTTATGCTAACTGTAATAAGCCAAACAGAAAAGAGTACTTATTCTATGATTCCGTTTACATAAAACCCTAGAAAATACGCACTAATCTATGTTGATAGAAAACAAGTGACTCCCTGGGGATGGCAGGTGAGAGAGAAAGAATGAAGGGTCACATAACATTGGAGCACAAGAACCATCTTGGAGGGTAATGCATATCTCCATTATCTCTATTGTGATGATGGTCTCATGGGTGTATACAGGTCAAAAATCATCAAATCCTACATCAATATGTGTAGTTTTGTACAATTATTTCTTTTGAAATCAAGAGTATATCTGCATTAAATCAATAAAGACTGTGGATAACTTCATTTGCGTATGATTGGTAATATCACTTTTTACATAAAAGAAAAGTGACCATTTGCAAGATTTGTGAAAATAATATGTACATGGGCTTTGACCATCAGACCTCTGAACATATTTACTACTGACATGTGAAACTAGAGTTGTACCTAAGACATGAATTTGAAACAGTGCTTAAGTGCCTTGCTGACTAGTCATGTGAATAAAATAACCAATTTGTCTTTGATAATCAACTCTTAGATTTAAGACAGCTGAAATGTACAATCAATGATGTACATGTGTTAGCCCTCCACAACCGTTTGTGGTCTTAATAACATTATTGGAAGAATAATGTCATTAACCAATGTGATCTCATATGCTGCCATAATGTATAGCCACCCCTTCTTATTTTCTGTTCTAAAGAACAACTTTGCGGCTTCACTTAAAGAAAGTGGTCTTTTGTTTCTCCCTGACGTTGTCATACCAACAACAATTATTTAGCTGTAATTGGTCCGTAGGAGGTTAGGATCAGCAGCCTAAAAATGCACTTTAAGGATTTCAGATTTCAGTTCAGTGGTTGAATTATAGCGTTCTTTCTCTTTATAGTAATACTCTGAAAATGCCCATTTTAGACCTTTTACTCCCCCCGCCTTATTATTCTAGAGGAAGTTTCAGTTCATTAATAAGGAATAAACTCAGGATGCTTGTGGCTTTAAAATGTGATTGTTTTGCTTCTTCCTGAATTTATCTAGCTTCACTTCTTTTGGAACTGGATGTGAAACAATGCTTCTGTATTTTCAAAAGTATGCCATGAATATGTTCATGATTCTTCACTTCATACATTTCATGTATTTTCATATCCTAAACCACCTATTTGTCTGTCATCTGGCTTTGGTTTGATCTGCTTTTTAAAATTTCACTCTGTCTCTTGACTATGACAATGTGCTGTTTGGGTAAATCTCTGTCCCTAATTATAATTTAATTGGATCGTTTGTTTCTTCTAGAGCATTTAACTCCATTTCCAATTGTTTAGATATTCTTATTCCCTTTAAAGGTTTTTCCTGATCATCCCAACATTTTGGCGGAAAATATTGAATCATAACAAATCAAATAAAAAATAGATACATTTAGAAACTTCTACTCATATTTTTATGAGAAACCACCATTACTCAGATCTAGAAAAAGAAGTTACTATTAATTTTGCTCAGAAGTTCTGGGTAAGATAGCTTTACAGAGGCTTAACCAGACAACCTTGAATTAGTTCAGTAAAAGAGCTCCTGAAGGAAGCACTAAACATGGAAAGGAACAACCGGTACCAGCCACTGCAAAATCATGCGAAATTGTAAAGACCATCGAGGCTAGGAAGAAACTGCATCAACTAACGAGCAAAATAACCAGCTAACATCATAATGACAGGATTAAATTCACACAACAATATTAACTTTAAATGTAAATGGACTAAATGCTCCAATTAAAAGACACAGACTGGCAAATTGGATGCAGAGTCAAGACCCATCAGTGTGCTGTGTTCAGGAAACCGATCTCACGTGCAGAGACACACATAGGCTCAAAATAAAAGGGTGGAGGAAGATCTACCAAGCAAATAGAAAACAAAAAAAGGCAGGGGTTGCAATCCTAGTCTCTGATAAAACAGACTTTAAACCAACAAAGATCAAAAGAGACAAAGAAGGCCATTACATAATGGTAAAGGGATCAATCCGAGAAGAAGAGCTAACTATCCTAAATATATATGCACCCAATACAGGAGCACCCAGATTCATAAAGCAAGTCCTGAGTGACCTACAAAGAGACTTGGACTCCCACATAATAATAATGGGAGACTTTAACACCCCACTGTCAACATTAGACAGATCAATGAGACAGAAAGCTAACAAGGACACCCAGGAATTGAACTCAGCTCTGCACCAAGCGGACCTAATAGACATCTACAGAACTCTCCACCCAAAATCAACAGAATATACATTTTTTCAGCACCACACCACGCCTATTCCAAAATTGACCACATAGTTGGAAGTAAAGCTCTCCTTAGCAAGTGTAAAAGAACAGAAATTATAACAAACTGTCTCTCAGACCACAGTGCAATCAAACTAGAACTCAGGATTAAGAAACTCACTCAAAACCGCTCAACTACATGGAAACTGAACAACCTGCTCCTGAATGACTACTGGGTACATAACGAAATGAAGGCAGAAATAAAGATGTTCTTTGAAACCAACGAGAACAAAGACACAACATACCAGAATCTCTGGGACACATTCAAAGCAGTGTGTAGAGGGAAATTTATAGCACTAAATGCCCACAAGGGAAAGCAGGAAAGATCCAAAATTGACACCCTAACATCACAATTAAAAGAACTAGAAAAGCAAGAGCAAACACATTCAAAAGCTAGCAGAAGGCAAGAAATAACTAAAATCAGAGCAGAACTGAAGGAAATAGAGACACAAAAAACCCTTCAAAAAATTAATGAATCCAGGAGCTGATTTTTTGAAAGGATCAACAAAATTGATAGACCACTAGCAAGACTACTAAAGAAGAAAAGAGAGAAGAATCAAATAGACACAATAAAAAATGATAAAGGGGATATCATCACTGATCCCACAGAAATACAAACTACCATCAGAGAATACTACAAACACCTCTATGCAAAAAAACTAGAAAATCTAGAAGAAATGGATAAATTCCTGGACACAGACAGCATCCCAAGACTAAAGCAGGAAGAAGTTGAATCTCTGAATAGACCAATAACAGGCTCTGAAATTATGGCAATAATCAATAGCTTACCAACCAAAAAGAGTCCAGGACCAGATGGATTCACAGCCGAATTCTACCAGAGGTACAAGGAGGAGCTGGTACCATTCCTTCTGAAACTATTCCACTCAATAGAAAAAGAGGGAATCCTCCCTAACTCATCTTATGAGGCCAGCATCATCCTGATACCAAAGCCAGCAGAGACACAACCAAAAAAGAGAATTTTAGACCAATATCCTTGATGAACATTGATGCAAAAATCCTCAATAAAATACTGGCAAACCGAATCCAGCAGCACATCAAAAATCTTATCCACCATGATCAAGTGGGCTTCATCCCTGGGATGCAAGGCTGGTTCAATTTACACAAATCAATAAATGTAATGCAGCATATAAACAGAACCAAAGACAAAAACCACATGATTATCTGAGTAGATGCAGAAAAGGCCTTTGACAAAATTCAACAACACTTCATGCTAAAAACTCTCAATAAATTAGGTAATGATGGGACGTATTTCAAAATAATAAGAGCTATCTATGACAAACCCACAGCCAATATCATACTGAATAGGCAAACCTGGAAGCATTCCCTTTGAAAAGTGGCACAAGACAGGGATGTCCTCTCTCACCACTCCTATTCAACATAGTGTTGGAAGTTCTGGCCAGGGCAATTAGGCAGGAGAAGGAAATAAAGGGTATTCAATTAGAAAAAGAGGAAGTCAAATTGTCCCTGTTTGCAGATGACATGATTATATATCTAGAAAACCCCATTGTCTCAGCCCAAAATCTCCTTAAGCTGATAGGCAACTTCAGCAAAGTCTCAGGATACAAAATCAATGTACAAAAATCACAAGCATTCTTATACACCAATAACAGACAAACAGAGAGCCAAATCATCAGTAAAAAAAGATGAGATTTTACATGACATAGTTTATCATTGCTAATAACTATATATACAGTTAAAGACTATAACTTAGCCAACTTTATGTTTCAACCTTGACTTTCTTGCTTCTTAGCTATGTGACTTGAACAAGTTCAACATTTTTAAGTGTAAGATTTCTCACCTATATAATGACAATGATACTTTCTACTTTAAAGTGTGGGTGTGAAAATTAAATGGGAGTATATATATTAAGTTCTAAACACCAAGTGAGTGCTCAATAAATCAGTAGTAGCAGTAGAATGCAAGGAGAATTAAATGGCTGGACTGATTTGAAAAGAGATTTCATAATATAATTATAAGAATGATTGAATAAAAATGAAAGAGTAAAAAGTAAGTTTGAGTCTATATCAACTTTTGATTACTTATGGTATCTTATTAGAGATACTTAAATATTTAAAAACATAACAAGAGATTTAATCCTCAAAACATTTTGTATTTGAAATTAATGTGCTATTTAAACAAATCATTTGTCACTTATTTGTTTAGCTTTCATTAGATTAAAAATATTGAAAACAGATAAAATGAAAAAATTATATTTAAACTATACATCTATATTTTATATATTTTATTTCCATAAGTGAAAAACATTTTAAAGATAAAAATTCCAATGTGCTACCAGATATTACGTGCTGTGCAGTATGTGTGTATGTGTGTGTGTGTCCTAGTCTCCTCTATTTTTATGTTTATTTATCCCTGTCCTAAAGTCGGTTTACATTTATAAAAGCACTTAACTTGATTAAGAACTGAATAATGTGAGAAAATGCAATCGGGGCCTTGGTTTTTTTTTTTTTTTTAAAAAGACAATTATTTTTTGGTAAATAATATTCGGTCCAAACAGGTCTTTTTTGGGGGGGGGCGGGGGGGAAGGGCAGGGTTTAAAAAAGACATAAGATTGCAGTTACTGTAGCTCAAGAACAGCATACATTTTTCCTGAGGAATCTCTAAACACTTAATAGGATTTGTGCTGCTGTGAGTGAAGTATATGTTTAATAAAAAATATTAACATGAATTGCATAACCCTAAAATCATTTAAGATGTGAAATGTAGAAAAAGTATTGGTGGTTGGAGCTCATACACTGGAAAATGGATGCAAGCCAAAACACTGGCACTAACACCCTGCTCTTGTTAAGAAAATGCCAAGGAATCGTTTCACAAGAGTAACTCACAGATTGCAACACAGTTACCTTAGCTGGCTCCTGATGTGCAGTATCACACCACATTTAAATTTCCATCTGTGGTGTCTGGAACTATTGTTCTCATTGTGAACTTTTTTTCCCCGAAAGTAAATCTACAGGATCTAAAAGACCACAGAATACACCTTCTTTAGTGGGATGACCACCTAGATTTAAAGAAGTTTTAAGTAAAGTTTGCAGTCTTTCTATCAGCCACGGAATAATTTCCTCTTTCAAAACAAGTAAATTGGCATTTAAATTATGCATAGAAAATGCTGAATTTTGATATGTCTGGAATCATTTATTTTTCTTGGAATGTCTTCAGTGCTCCATTGCTATATTGTGCCTGTATAAGTAGGGAAAATAAGGATACTGTGTTCCTAGTCCTTTCCTTGTGAAATTTAGTGATCAATACCCTTAGATTGAGGCCCAAACAACTGATCGTTTTAAAATAACTGAATTGGTAAAGGTAAATAACTGAATTGGTAAAGGTAACTAACAAATTATTTTGACACAATTTTATTTGCCTAGGAAATGTTTCCTTGTGTACTAGTTGAGTTGTGATGCTGAAATTTCACACACACACACACACACACACACACACCATCCAGTGTAAAAGTGGAAAATTTAACTAAAGCTCCTGAGCTAGTTACATGACTAATCTTTCTGCTTTAAGCAGAGGCAATGACTTTATGATCTTTACACTTTCTCTTTTTACTTTTTGTACAAGGGCAAACTTACAGGTACTGTATTCAATTCTCAGAGAAGTTGAAAAAGGAAATAAAGTGTTTTAAGATCTTCGAAAGAAAAGTTCACATCAATAAAGTATTCATAGATATATTTTTAAACAAAGTACATACACATTTGTTAATGTCTTCGTTATTCCTTGCCTCATGCGCCCACCTAGTAACTATATTTTTTAATTTTTTGAATAGATATAGTATATTTTTGATATATGCATATATTAAGTGTTCTCTTGAATTTATATTCAATATATAATTTTCATATTTTCTCCATTTTGTATGAGTTAACATGTATAAAACACTTAAAACTATCAGAGACCTCAAAAAATGTTAATTTAATAATAATTATTTAAATTGTTGCTATTTACATGCCTTTCTATTCAGTATATGATTATAAACATTATTCTTGACCTAAGTCAGTATTTCTGGAGAGTTGCTGGTTTTAGAAGTTGCATGATCTGCAAGGACCTTGAATGATCAGCCGAAGAAGCAACATTAAAGCAAATTCTACCTCTTTGCTCAGCAGTCCTGTTGCTAAGCAACTAACTTTGTTTATCCTCACCTATTTGGGTCAGGACTAGGGGAAATGAGCTGATGTTACATGCCAGAGAAAGGAGTTAGTGGCTAGAGATGAACTTAAAACTTCTTGGTTTTGCATTGTTTTTCCACCTAGTGACTTCCTGGCTAATTCTGGAAATGTTATTCCTCTTCTTAAGTCTGTTTATTTTAGATCATTAAATTAACAACTATACATAGGGGCCTTTAACAAAGTGCCCACATCAAGATAGTCCAAATAATATGACAAAGCAATTGGATCTCAAGACAAATATTTCAAGCCTTTCTAATAAAAGTAGCATAAAAATCACTTTTTTTTTGCTACAGAAAGTGAGACTTCTTTTGCTGATTTGTTTTCTACTTTCTTCAAGAAATGAATGGCAGAAGTGATTGACAAGGCACTATACACATTGCCAAAGCCAATTCTTATTACATAATATAGTTCTACAAATAAAAGTGACTATCAAGATGCATAAGTTATTTCTGTAGGAATAGAAGGGATGAGTTACATGCCATTTCATTTTGATAAACTTGAATCCAGTTTCTAATCAACAAGATTGCCCTATACAATAAACTACTGATTGTGACTGCTGGCGTTAACAGTAATAGGACAAGAAGATGTGTGGTACAATTTTCTCCATTCAGCTATTCGTTTTCCTACTGCTTCGAAGGAGTCTTTATATCCTTATGATCTTTCTCAAAGTTAGCCTGATCAATTGTGCTAAATGTGCCCAGTACAGCCGATGAATACATGGACAACTCTTGTTGATTGCTAAGTAGTGTCAGTTTGGCCTCAGTTCTTAATTTCTGTCAGAGTTCGCAAAATATGAATTTAATTTCAGAGTGTTTTTGCACTCTTTATAGATAATGCACTCTACTCAAAGCCCACTTCATTTTATACACACTACTAAATACATTAAATACATATATAGAAGCTGATATCCTTAGATCATATTCTCTGTCTATTTAGTCTCTTTGAACCCTTCAAATTCATTTTTTTTTCCTGCCAGTGCTAACTAGAGACTATATGATGTGTTGTATTCATTTGGAACAAAAACCTTTATAAAAACAATAATAGGATAGAAAGCATCAACAAAACCTCTACTATTTCAGTCTTTACCATCTCCAGCTCTGACATTTGGACTTGAAATTTAGAGATAATCTATTAAACTGCAGTGAGAATTGTTTATCAATTCACCAAAAGACTTTCATTCAGAGGAATCCAGGTTCCCATTTTCATAGCAAGTTTATAACTCAACATAAATGTCAAGGCTTAAAGAATATTGAAACACAGCATGGATATTTATTTGAAGAAAATCATTTGATAAATTTCAGAATGTGGAGTTTAGTTTATTTTTTAAAGAACCTGTCAAAGTATATTGTTGGGTTAACTAAATAATACAGTTTTCCTGTGGTAGGTTGCTACGTTCACCACAGTTATAATGTGCCTTTCTGTCTACCTTCATTCCATATGTATGGTAGCAGATGCTTGCATGGCTATTTGTTCATTCTTATTGATGTGCTTTTGAAAACCCAGTGAGAAAGAATGCCTTCACAGCGGATGCCCTCCTACCTACATTCAATACACATTACCCATTTCTAGCAGCTTAGCTATATCTCACTGAAACTACCCATGGTTCAAACATGCTCTTTCTCATAGCACAAACTAGTGCTTTGGCAGATGCTACCTGTATTCCTAATCACTGATGATGCCAATTGTAGAGACATAACTGGAGATCATTAACCATTTGATGTGGATTTTAAAAATCAGCTTTTCTTCAAACATTCTGTTAAAATAAAAATTGGAGTGTTTTTCCTCTTGTCATTGTTTTCTTTATTCTTTGTTAGAATATTACTAATAGTAAAAAAAACTTGTTGAATTACCGATTTATGTAAACTGTGCTAAAAGCTTTATATGTTAATTTCACTTGATCCTCAAAACAACCTTACAAAGCAGAAGACGTGCTATTTTTATGCCCTCATTACTGGTAAGAAATATAAGGCACAGAGAAGTTAAGTAACTAAGGCCAAGTAACTAGTAATATTAGAGTTGGGATTCCAATCCAGGCAGCCTCATTTCTCATCTTGCCCTGCTAACTGCTGTGCTTACACAGCATTAGACCAAGAGAGGAAGGCACCAGCACTAGACGGAATTATTTAAAGGTCTTTCTTTCTGATTTTTTTTTGGCATTGATTATAATCAATGTTAATCTAAAATTTCCCCAAATAATATAATATTATATTTTAATATTAATTAGAGAGCCAAACTACTAAGACTTACTAGTCATAGACTATTACCATGTAGAGGGACTTGTGCCATTATTCCATCCTACTACACATTATATGAACTGGGAATCTGTGATCTTTGAAGAAAAGTTATTTTTCTCAACTCCTATACCTAGTTAGAATCAGAGTCAGGGTGTTAATGAATTGGATTTCTTTCTTAGCTGTAAAAATAAGACAAATTCTAGGGCAATTTTACTATCTTTTTCCTTTAGGGGATTTTTTTTAAACCTAAGTACATTGTATTTAGCTGATGTTTACTATATGTACACATGAAAACTTAGAGTGCATACATGCATACATACATAAGTATTTAATTAAATTCCAACTACTTCCAAAAATGTTTTGAAGCAGTTAGATCACCATTGTGGGTATATGAGAAAAGATTCGCTCATAGCAAAAGTGTAAATAACTTGCTGATAGCTAAAAGATTACATTGATGAGCAATGATTTTTTTGGTAGATGGAAATCCTAAACTTTTTCTGATTCCATTGGAAAATACCAAAGAAGGAATTTCAGTAATGCATTTTGAAAATATTATTTGAGAAAATATGTATGAATTTGTTACACTGTGTGTTCTATGGGCAGAATTTTACCACTTAAATACTTCACACTTTTATGCAGAGGCCAATTCTACATCCAACAGTTTAGATCAGAAATGATTAAGAAAAAAAATTTTTCTGAGAGATTCATGAGTGTAGAAAGGAGCTGCAGATATTTTTGACAAAAGAGTTAAATTTCTTTGAGCTCTGTACAAAGAGAGAAGGAGCAATGACAAAAATGTCTTTATAGGATTTTTCAACACTCTTCGTGCCAGGTGTAGAATACTTTCAGCTGTTCCATCTACTCCTTTGATTCACTTGGAATCTGGCTATATGACATCAAAAAAAGCTTTTAATCTAGACATGTGTCCATTAGTTTTTCTCCTTATGGAACAGGAGAATTTACACTTTATTTGGCAATTACATTGAGGATTTCCAAGAAACATTTTTATGTTTCTGTTATCACATTTTAGTGTTCTTTAGGTAATCAAATATCACCTTGATCCCAGCAATTTATATTATTTTCCAAAAAACAGGCGTCGTGGGGATCCCTCATGTATCCTGCATTCGCCTCTTAGAATAGTTTTCTTCCATTTTTCAGCGTAAATGACTATTGTCTTTGTTCAGTCGTAGAACAACATATATCCCACACTATATACTCAATAAATACTCCTAAAACTAATGAGCTTTGTCTTTTTTTAAGTCAGTGTTGAATTATTTCATTTAGTCAACAATTTGCTTCATTTTGAGTGAAAATCAACAATTATTTTGATCACTCATTATGCATTTAGTCTTTGCATGTGCTCCATTCTGCATATTAATAGAAGATGATCCTCATTGTAATACTTGTTTTAATATTCTCAACTGTCATAACCATTATCATCAGAGGAGTCACAGCAATATTATTTAGAGATGTACACTAGAGGGTGGTGTTTTACCTGGACACTAGACCTCTCAATGCATTGGCTTTGAGGAAGAATGGAAATTTTTTCCAGGAAATGTTCCCCATGTTTAATGTTATATAATTCTCAGCACATATGCCCCATTAACAAAGTTGATAAACCCTAGGGAATGGAAGCAGAGTCTGAGTCACTTGGCGGCCTTGCTATCTGGTTTCTTCAACACATTCCTGTAGGTGTTTGGTTTTTCTGAGCTCCACATGCAGAGTGTCACTTGAAAACCAAAACTGATCACTAGGTGAGAATATATTTGACTCCTTCTAACTACAAGCAATTAGAAATCAAGTGAGGCAAATAGTGAACCTGAGCAAAGCTCTTAAATTAACCACTTCAATTTTAACAACCTCTGAGCCAAACATGAGTACTTCCATGCCTGACCTGAAAAGAAGAACAGAAATGATCAATGGTGGTGAGAAAAGTTATCTCAGGAAGAGCTCTTTTTTTTCTGTGTGTTTCTTCTGCTTTTTACGTAGTGCTAAAAAATAAAAATAGAAATAAAAGCTTCTAATCTAGTGCAGCCTGACATTCATAATATCTTGCAAGGGATGATCAAAATGTTGCTACACTTGTTCCCCCCTCAATAAACATTTTTATGTTAATAACAGGTTATGGCTTGGATTTAACTCATTTTGCTTCTAGCTGGTGCTCTCATTTGTGTGTTTTTCTCAATTGACTCTTACGATTTTGGTTTAATTGTTGCTCAAATCATGAGTTCTATTGTGGTTTCTTATGACAAATGTTCCAAATTTTAATTGACTTTTACCTGGACATGTGAATAACATCATGAAAGGGGGAAAATCCTCAAATTTATTGCTCTCAAATTTCCCTCCAGGAGAAAATTATTCTCCCTGCTCTGGCCAGTGGAAATTTGCTTATAATGCAAGCAAGTCTTGATCTGATGTTGCCGGTTTTCAGACCTATATTCTTTATTATTCTTCACCATCATCTGATTTGGAAAGACTGCTGGAATCAAGATCTGCTGGAATAAATTTTTAAAAACACTATTTCATATGATCAAATTAAAGTTGAATTGACTGGTTCCTATTAAAGTTAAGCCCCGTCTAATACAGTCAAACTCTCTATTGAAGCTAGGTACACGCTTTCCTTCAAATGTTCCTTAGCATTTGGCTCTGCTGTTTCTATGTTCCCCTTTCTTCAGTGATACGATAACATTGCAATAATACTTAAACGCTGACACAACAGAAAACCTTGCCAGTTTGGCTCCCAACCTTGGCAAGCTTTTTGTTATAGTTGCAACCCAGCTTACTCCTTGAATTGCACAAAACTTTCTTAGCTCCTCCACAGCATGTCGTGTACAGGGGACTAAAGAGGAAAAGTAAGAGAGATGCTAATTTTAGACAGAGAATAGTAAATAGGACAACAAATAAAAGCTCTGTTTTGGCACATTGGAACTTTCTTTTTTCCCTTTTAAATGTGTGATTCCTTTTCCCAAATGTTGCACTAGATTTATTTTTAAAGGTGTCATCTATTTCCATTCCAGTGCTATGTCATCTATAATTTAAATTTATGAGATAAATCTTGAGGTTCACCAGTGAAGCAGCTGGAAAATTCTAGCCACTTTGCCATTGAAAATGCAGATTTGCTGAAGGTTTTTGTGTCTGACAAGCCCCATTGAAAGTACCTCACTCCCTTTCCTGACAAGCATCCATCAACATGTAATATTTATTCCTCTGTTTTAGTTTCACTACAAATAATTGGCGGTCCCTCAGCAAGAAGACAGTTTCCTGCTGAGGCAGTACCACCTGTACAGCTTCACTGAGCCGAGAACAAATGCTCTGAAAAGAGAGCTTTCCTAGAACTGATGGATAAAATGAATGAGGGATATTTACTGAAATGAGGGAAAACTGAATTTGCTCCTTTAGTTATGTCATTATTGTGACTTCTGCAATCCTCCTTCTATCACCATCAGAATGGCAATGAAGCATTCATAAATACATTTTACTGCTGACAAGAAAAATATTCTTGTTGACTTATCTTCAACCCCTCTATTTCTCCACCTCTCTCTCTCTCTCTAAATCTTTAACTTCACAATGATTACCTTCGCCAGACTCAATCTAGGGTTGAGGGGGTTGGAGTCAGGGAGCAAAATATCATATGGTGATACAGTATATAATTTTCTTCCCTTCTTGAACTTGTCTTGATTTCTGCTTTTAACTCTGGGCAAACATGAAAAGCTTAAACTCCACTGTAGCTATTGTAACATCAAAATAGATGGCCAGTGTCTGTCCTATGGCTGCTGTGACTTTCAGTTTCCTTGTAACCCCCAGACATGGATTTGCCTTGTTAGGAAAGGAGGTGTTCTTAAAGAATTATGTTTCTGTAAGTGTGCATGGTTTGCACTCTTTAAAAAAAAAACGGACAAATATGACAGGTAAATGAAGAAATAAACATGTTTATACACTATTTTTAATAATGGACAAACTATAGGAACACTTCAGATATATCTTAATTTATCAGGTAGGAGTTTTCAGATGTTATGCATCCAACTAGGTATTCTATAGGCTGTGCATTGTACTTTATTACCAAAATCAGGTAGTCATTATTTTGTTCAGATTTCTAGAAAAATAATTGTTACTTGAAATATCCCAGTTTTTAGTGTTAATCTCATGATTATTTTTCAAGGTTTGGTGTCTAGTATTCCCCATAGTCTAGTGAGAACAATGAATCAACAAGAGAAGAGTATTAAAGTACAAATACACCAATGTTTGCCATAAATAGCAGCTTTTGAGGAATAAACCCCAGTGATCTCGATGATCACTTTGCATTCTATTCCTTTACTCTAAGTTTAACATTAATAAACAAAATAAAATTCCAAACACAACAGACCAACATTTATAGCGAATTATTGTGAATGAGATGGAACTGATTAATATTTTGTGAACTTTCACAAAGGATACCATGATTTCTGAGAGTTGGGCTGTCAGAGGAACTCTGAGACCTATCATCCAAGGTACTTCACTTATATTTTAATATTTTTTCAACCTAAGAAAAATAACTGGATTAAATGGAATAGATTCAGTAACAGCCCAAGAGATTATGTATTTTTGTTTATCATTTTATCGGCAGTTGCATTTTCTCTCTATATCCAGATAAAGTGATTGCAATAAATACCTGCTGATTCTCTCAGTGGTCACATGAAAAAATGTGTAGTCAAACTGAGATTAGAATCCCAAGTGTTACGTATTTTTAAAATTTCTATGAGGTATTCAAAGGATGCCAATTGTTATAGCAAGGGGTTAGAGGCAAATTTTAAAATACCTGGTATAAGATCTTCCTTCAATGTAATTATAATCTAACTAGAAGACATGACTTATTAATAATTTACTGACTGATTCATATATATTAAAGCTTGTATGATTCAGAGAAGGAAAAAGCCTAGTTTAGGGATTACATTAGAGAAGGCTGCTGATCAGCACATTTGCCATCATTGATGAATTCTTCTTCTAGACTGGTCTTGGAATTAGAAGCTCTCTGTTTCCTGATGGTTTACATTCTAGCTGTGTGTCCTTGTTGAATTTGCTATGCTTTTCTGAACCTTAATTTCTTCCTCCATTATAGACGGCTAATACTACCATGTAAGTATTTGATGAAGACTAAGTGTTGCCCCACCATTTGGCAAACCGTACATTGTTATAAATATGTAAGATATCTCTATGATCATTTCTCTGGGCCAGGCAGAGTAGGAAAAAAATCTACTTGAGGATGAAGATATTATGACAATTATAATAACTAATATTTATTAGTTATTGTACTTATTTATGGTGGGTTAAAAATATAGGTACCACATGGCATTCATCAATGCCAAATTAGGTGTTCAGAAGATAAAACTTGTGAATTCAGGGTAAGAAGAGATCATCATGAACTGTGGAGGTCAGGAATGACTTCATGGGAGAGCTTGGATGTAACGTGGACTTTTTTAAATGGAAGGACTTTGACATTCGAGGTGAACGAAGAGAGCACTCTGATCAAAGGGAACAGAAGAGCTAGGTATGTCAGGAGGAAAATCTCTTTCATAACCCAAGAAAAATACTTGTACCCCAAATGTGATTTGTATTAAAAATGACTTTCAATTTGTATGGCTACAATCAGGGCATGCTGTCAATAGTTTGCCTCTAAGCATCATCACTGACCATTGTCATATATTTAGCAGTTCTATATTTTAGTGCTATCTCCCTTGTCCTTCAAGACATTTGAGTTTGAGATCCCTTGCAAAAACAAGAGCAGATTTAAAATGGAAAAGAGGAAAGTAGAAGATCAAAGATGATCACCTCCCAAGGTTAAAAAGTAAAGTTTAGTGACTTCAGATGCAAAGCATGTTCTAATAGATATTATAATAGAAAACAAAAAGATTTTAAAATAGTCATAAAAAACCCCTTACCCTTTTGAGAGGAATAGACATTGCTGTAGATTCTTTAAGTTATTTGTGGTTGGTAGAATTAACCCCAATTTAATAGATGAGTAAACTGAGTCTCAAAGGTTGTGAGTTGTCCAGGATTATGCTGCTAACAAAAGGTAGCTTGGGATTGAAGTATTACTACTTATCTATCATGTGTCACGTATGGAAAGACACTACCATATATTTTCTACTTCAGTCTTCATAATTAGTTTGTGTGTGGGGTATTAATACTCCCAATTTTACAAAGGTTTTTGTGCTACATATTTCTCAGTTGAGGCAGGGATCTCTGGGTATCATGGCAGATGCCAAATTTCAGATCCTCAAGACTGACATTTTCGCTCCTTTATGTTAGAAGGATCAAAACATCAGAATCTAAGCCATTAGATGCCATAATAAAGCAGTTCACCAGCCCTTCATTCTGATGTGGGTTATTAATATTTCTGGTCAAAGCCATAGGTCATACTTAACCAACTTCAGTGGAAAAGCCCCAGGTGCAGCAAATACTAAGGGAAAACTCCAGACTTCCCTGAACTCTTAATGTTGTTCAACACTTTAAAAAATATCCTTTAAAGATATGTGCAAATTGCCTTCTTCAAATAGGAAAAGCAGGCAGAGGTTCTGTAATTTCACACCTGCTTCTGGCCAGGCATGGCCTTTGGGCTTTAAAAAAATGACTCAACTTTTTCTTAGGCCTGTTTTAGACCCTTGCAGCACAAACCTTCTGAATGAAATATGTCTTGGGTTGATAGCCTGCTTCAAAACTACTTGGTGCCTCAAACAGCAGGGTGTCTAGAAATACTAGTCTCTGCTACTAGAGCAGAAATCTTAAAGAGCCATGCAAATTGGATCCACCCGGTCTTTAACTTGGGCCAATTCTTCCACAGTATGTGCAGACACATTCTTAGTTGACTTGACTGCATAATAGAGATGATTATAAGCACTTACTTATCTCACAGGGGTCTACTGAAGATTAATTAGTTAATGTTGGCAGACCAAAGGTGCAATATATGTGCTAAGTATTATTATTATTACGGTGCCACTTCTCTTTAAAGAATGTTGTTTCTAAAGTCATAGTGCCTATGTGCCATCTGCTCACAGCAGCCTTTACCATCTCCCTACTCAGAGACTGAATCCGGTATCTGAATAAATAGATGTGCTCAAAAAAAAATCTATCACACCTCCATCTGTGCTTATGGAATATGAATTCAGACATAGGCAGAAATGCAAATCAATCACAAGTGGAGAGGCTTCTCCAGTGCCCAGAGTCACATTTAGAGATGTTGCTCTAATATTCTTGCTTTTCATTTTAGAATCCGCTAACTCACGATGCGATGCTTCCGTGAAATTCTGTCTCTTCTGCATCTGAAATAGGGTGTTATGTTAGAGCCCTGAACTGCCTTCTATTTTGTTCCCAGGAAGTTGAAAGAGAAAACTTCCCCCAGAACACGTTCGCTGCTGATCTTTTGCCGAAATTAGCTCCATGATTTTAATGCTTTAGATATTAGTATAATTATCAGAAGCTAATGAGTTTTTAAAGGTTTCTATATGAAATCATGATTTTGAAAATTCCCTCCTGCCAGAATTATAACTAGGTTATAGACAACATGACATGATCTATGACCCATTTTTACTAATGACTAAAGAATGAAGATTCAGCTTCTTATGAATAAGCACTCTTTCTCGAACATGACAGGGCACTGCAACTATGAAAGCTATGAAAATTAGAAAGATTAAAACCTTGAACTAAAATTATCCAAATGTTTCACAGAAGCGACTATAGTAATATAAATATCATTCCTTTCTTTTGAAAGTTATTGGTATCACAATTATCATAGATATTTAATATTCTCCCACAGTAGGTGGCTCTATGGAATTATTTCTCCCCATCAACCAACTCGCTCTTCCTCGAGTCAGCTGTTGAAAATAAATTTATCTTCTCTCTGAATTTCACCTCACTTGATCCATATACTCATGATAATTCCAGTAATTTTTTTGTTTTATTTTCCTGTGCCCAATTTGTTAACAGATTTTCTCTTTAATCCAAAGATATCCTAAGACATTTTCATGATGGCTATAGAATTAATCAAATAGGTAATAAGCTCTTGTTCATTATAGCTTCTGTGACCTGTTATATGCATAATCTGATCTCATGGAGGATGCAAGTAATATCTGAATTCAATTCATCTAATCTAAATTATGCATTTACCTTATGAGTTGGTTAGGTTTTAGGGATATAAAGAGGAATAAAGTACCATACCTGGCCTCAACTCAAGAAGATAAATCTGTAGCTAACTATATTAAAATGATAAGTTCCAAACTAGGTAATTTGAACAAGTCTTGAGAGAGCTCAAAGGGGGGAATGATTCATTCCATTGAGAGTCAGGAAAGAGAGTTTCAGAAGTCTTCAGAGAGATGATATCTGAGTTACGTGGTGGGGGATGAAAACAGCAGCACTAGGTGGAAAAAAAATACAAGGCACACAGCTATCCTAGCTCTAGACTTTCAAGCAGATTGATGCTTCCTTGAACTATGCCATTCTCTCTTATTAAAAATGAGCCTTGAACATGCTTCCCAGTTTTTGTTTTTTTTTAATTTTCTTTTTGGAAGCTTCGATTTTACTCCTCTCTCAAATCCCAGTTCCTAGATCTTGTTTCCTGTTGCTTGCCCCTGGCACTTGAAAACAGATGCATCTTTCCTAATTTTGAAGTTCCATGTGGACACAGTTAGCTTTTACCCTACTGACCAAAGCTCTAGGACCAAGAAATCACTGAGCCAATATCCGTGCAAAGTTCACATTGGTCATCTAGAGGAAACGTGAATATTTTCAGGAGAAAAAACTGCAGGGAAAAGACTTAAACAGCAAAAAGCAGGACATGTGTGACGAAAAATGAGCCTTCTGGTAGGGCCAATGCTCTTTGTGCCCTTGTGCCTCAGGACATTTGACAGAATTATGTAACCAGCCTCACAATAGCAGTGATACTGTGGAACAGCAGGGGTAATCCTATCCCAGCAATGCTTATGCCCATCCCTCAGAGAATGCTAATTATAGGTGGGGTATGCACACAAATAGGCTTAACTCCCTAAACAACCATGACATCATTTCTTCTTAGAGAAGATGGTCTAATCTGTCATCTCTTGAACCTGCTCTCTTCACAGGGTACAAATCTCTCAGCGGATAGCTCTTAAAAACATCGGGAAAATTAAATATTTTATGAGCGTCCTGATTACTAACTTGTAATCATAGAGCAAACACAAAAATATTCAGTGGCTTAAGTCTTGGGTATTTTAGAGCTCGGTTGCCTTTGCCAACCCACTCTGTTTGTATGTGATAATACCCCATAAGATAGAGATTCAATGTTTTGTTAGATTTACTGATCTTTAATGGTGCTTACATTATTGGATAGCCTAAGAGTCTGAAACCTTTGAGCCCCTCAGGAGAAAAAAAGTATGTGATGGAGTGAAGCTGGCTCAAAAGGCTTGCAGCATGACAACTTATGCAATGACTCTTTTGTAGACTAAAAAAGGGAGTCTGGACTCAGGGCTGTAAATTTGGCACTGTCCACAATTTCTAAATTGACTTTAAAATGAATGAGGTAATGGAATACTCAGACAGAAGGCTCATCCATTATAGAAATACACCTCAAATTGGTCCTTCTTTTGGTAAAGGCTAAGGAGTACTTCTAGTTAAAACTTGGCAAGTTATTTGCTTACCAGGTCTTGCTGGGATTTGAATTAACTGTCATAGTGATACAATTTTCCTAGAAACTAAATGGAAAAGCCAACATAAACAAATGTCAGGGAAAACCTTCAAAAATTTCAGAATTAACTGTTTGATCTAGTTAGCACCTCTAGTTCTGTTGGTATAGTCCATTTAAAACATCTTTCTATAAGGGGATAAAGAGTGAAATTGAAGCAAATTACACATATGGCATGGCTCTATCTATTTATGTAATGGAAGAAGAGGCAGAAAACAGAGAGAGAAGAAAATTGGAAGAAAAGAGCTCGTGCTAAGTAATAAATAAAATGCTCCTTTAGTAGACCCTAAAAATTCTCAATCGAATCATTAAAAACAACAACAAATTAAAGGGTATTTAAAAAGCATTCAAAATTCATCCAGCTGAATATAACACACACAGCTCTCTGAGCTTTCCATGTTGGTCAGGAGTTGCTTAGTGAATTGAGACTCTATTAAGTTGCATGTGGTTTCCATTCTCTTGTTTTTATAGCTTTTTGGAATTTACTTTGGATCTGCTGGGACCGCTAACCATTTTTTGGCCTGAAGATTCTGTTGTAGACAATACCACAAAGATAATCTCTTTTGGATAGTCATCCCATTATTCTAAATGTCTTGGAAACTTTGTTACACTTTAATATGTCAGAGTTTAATCTTCATGACTATACTATACAGTTGTTACCCATATCTCTATTTTGTCATTCAACAAATTGAGGCTTTTAAAGATTGAATACCTTGTCCAAATAAGTGGTACAGCCAACTTCAAGTCCAGATTATCTGCATGTAATTCTAGCACTCTGTTTTCTAAATCACACACATGATATTAAGTTCATATAGTTTCATTTAATATGCATGAATCTTTCAAAGTTGCATCATTAGGATTTAAAAAGGTTACATTTATTATAGAATGTCTCTTTGTCTTTCACTGGTCTCCAAGATTATTTTTGCCTTGAGGGGATAAATATTAAGGCGAGAAATTGTGATGTGAAATTATATTATTAATCTGTTTTAATAATTTTGTAAAAAGTATTGATTGTCAGGTTATGAAAATATGAAGTTTATAAGGACGCTAATTAATGCTGACCTTAACTTCCAGGTTTGGATTTTATTTTCCTTTTTTAAAAAAATTTAAAAAGCAATTTATGTATATGCAAAAAATTCCAAACATTAAAGTAGTTATAATGTGAAAAGTGATCCTCCCCTCCATTCTTGCCCTCCAGTCTCAATTTTCAGGGTAATGTCTTTTGCGTATATTTCTAAAACATGCACACGCACATACACACACACACATACACATGCACGCACACACACACACACACACACAATATTTCTCTCTTTTTTAACATCATATTTTGGTAATATTTTCATTACCAGCTCTATAGCTCCCCTTGCTTTTCACAGCTGCAGAGTAGTAGTATTTCATGTATGGGTGGCCTGAAATTGATTTAACTCATTTATTACACCTCACATTTAGAGATTTTGCACACTTTTGTTCTTCAAAGTATGCTGCAATGAACATTCTTGTTCTTATTTCTTTGTTTAGAGATGCATGTGTAAAATGCAAGACAAATGCCTCAAAATGACATTATTGAATCAAACGCTATGTAAGTTTACAATTGGATATATAGGGCTAAATTTGCCTATTTTGTATTTCAGTTATTATTTTAAAAATTATATATGTGCTTATGACATGTACAGAAAATCCCATTTAATGAACATTACAATTTTTTTTTCAATTTTTGAGGAGCTGGATAGAAAATATTTTTTATGTAGTCATATTTACCAATCTTTTCTAATGCTGCTCTGTATGGTTCCTCTTATTTAGAGTGTTCCCATACCAAAACTAATTTTTAATGCCAATTTTTTTAACGTTTCAAGTTTTATTTTTACATTTTAACCTTTGATACACCTGGAATTTATTGGGGTCTATTCTTAAGGCAGTAACCAGCTCCTTTTTAAAATAACTAGCTAGTTTTCCCAGTGTCATTTATTGAGAAAGTTATTTTTCTTCAGTGATTCAAGATGCCGACTTTATGATACAATAAATTTTTATATGTATTTCTATTTATTTCTTGAGTTTTTCTTCCATCCAATTGATCAGTCTGCATATCAGACCCCAGCAACAAACAATAACAGTAGTATTAAAATATATCTTACTATCTTATCGAGGTATTCTCTTTTACTACTTTTTTTTCAGAAACTTACTGCCAATTTTTTCATGTTTATTTTTACATAAGAAATTTAGAATCAGCTTGTTCAAGTTCCAAAAATAAGGCTGTTGGTATTTTATTTGGATCATGTGAAATCTGTAGATTAATTTAGTCTGAACTTACATTTTTACAATACTGAATCTTTCTGTGCAAGAATAAGTTTTGTCTCTTTCTTTTGAAGTCCCTTAAAGTATATATATATATATATATTCTTTGGTAGAATTTTAGTTTTTTTACAGAGATATTTCAAATTTGTGATTAACTTCATACCTAGATGTTTATTCTTTTTATTTTTAAGATGAGATTTTATTTCTGTATTTTTATGATTGGGTTTGATTGTGTCTAGGAAAGGAATTAATTTTCATTTATTTATTTATTTGTATTTTGCTCTTTTAGTGAATATTTGTATTGCTTTTAATTTTAATTATTTTGGGTTTCCCAGATGCATAATCATCTAAAAAAAGTTATTTTATTTTTTCCAGTATTTATATCTCTTTCTAAAAATTACATTGTTTATTTTTAAAATCTTAAAATATATTATCTAGTACTTCTAGAACAATGTTAAACAATTGAATAATAGTGATAGCAATCAGCATCCTTATTTATTGTTACTGAATTTAATGGGCATGCTTCTAATATTTCACATTGTCATGGATTTTGCTTTCAGATACATATCAAACACATTATAAAGGTGTAATAATACATTTAATTAAGAATTATAAAAATCAAGATTAGAAGTTAATTTTTACCAAACACTGTATTATTTACATAGATTATCATATGCTTTTATCTTTTCACTTTCTAATCTTTTAAAATACAATAATAAGCTTTATATGAAGATTATTTTTCTTCACATTTCATGAACAAATCTTAATTTTGTGTTATCCTTTCAATATGCTGGGGGTTTTCATTATTTCTGTTGTTTTTCACACGAAAGTAGTTTGGAGCTGTGATTTTTTTTTTCTCACTTTTCTCAAAAGGTAATTTTCTAGATTTTAGATATTAATTTTATATTGCTTCTTTAATGGATGAGTTTGGAAGCTACATGTTTCTATATTTTCTGGAATATTTATAATAGTTTTGGATTATCTCTTCCTTAAAAGTTGGTTAGAATTCAGCACTGAAACCCTTTTGTTTAGGAAGGGTTTACTTATTTAGGAATAGGGATAAAGATTTTTCTTAGTATTTCCCCAATGAAAATTTGAAAATTTTTCCTTATCTGATTTAACTTTTATGTTTCTCTAGGACCAACTTTGTAATTTCTGTTATCATAAGAAATAATTTATTCTATGCAGACTTTCAAATTTACCTTCAGAGTATATTTTCTCATTTCCACTTCATCTGTACTTACTAACATATTCTATTTTTTTCAGTTTTACTCATGATATGTGTTTCCTTATCTTATTTTTCCAAAATCAGTTTATATGTACACACATACACAAACACACTAGTAAACACATATATGTGTTTAGCTTTATATGTAGTTATATATAATATATGTGCTTTCTCCCTATATTGTTTTTAATATTAGTTACATATAAAGTAATATATGAATATATTTTTTATATTTAGTTATATATGATACATATTTATGTGCACGTGCATCAACCATTTTGTGAATTTATTTTTTTACTCTTTTTGTGTCAACTTTTATTTTAGAATCAGTGGGTACATGTGCGGTTTTGTTACAAAGGTACATTGTATGATGCTGAGATTTGGCTGAGGACTTTTTTTTTTTTAACTCTTTTCCTCCTTTTTTTATCCCATTTACTAATTTTTTGCTTTTATCACTAGCAATTTCTTTCTTTGGCATTTCTTAATTTTTGTGTTCTCATTACTTTTTAAATTGCCTTAGCAGAATATTTACTTCATCCTTCATTGTTTATACAGGTAATTATTAAAATCTAAAATTTTATTTTGATCATAATCTTAGTCAATTTGTATAGGTCTTTTTTTTTTTAGATATTTTACACTTTGGTTTGGCTTCTTCTTTTTAACTTAGGAGCTGCTGAACATAGAACTTCTGTCTTTTAACAGTTGGTATTTTGTTTTTTTCCCTTTTGTGTTATTCATTTTGTAGTGCATTTTAAGCAGAGAATTTCTCTAAATTAGTTTCTTTTCAAAAAATAAAGTAAACATCTTTATAATGTTTTGGGTATGGAGTTTGATGTATTTTATTATTATACACACTTATTTGGTCTATTTAACCATACGAGTTGAAAAATATAAGTTAAAAACAGTCTACTATTGTTTATTTTTCTATTATAGTATGCAGACTTTGCTTTTGGGATATTCATTTGATTATTTTCACTATTGTTATCATTATTGATGTTATTATTACTACTATACTATTATTACTAATATATAAATCTTGAATTTGTTTTATCTTTAGAGTGTTATATATGTATTATATACACACACATACAATGTGTCTTTACACATTATAAAGTATTAAAGTGTCAACTTTAACTCCTTTAATATTCTTTTTTTCACAATTTCAACTCTAATATCAATGTTATAAATTTTACTTTATTTTTTGTTAGCATCTTCCCAATATGTCTTTGCCTATCCATTTCTTTTATTACTTTAAAGCCACATTATTTTAAAAGTTTACTTAGATTCACTATAGAATTGGGGTTTGTTGCTAATCAAAGTATCTTTTATTCTTAATATTTTATTGTATTTACTTTTACTAATGTAAGAAATATGATTGATGTTAGAACTACAATCTTTTTATATTTCTTGTGTTCTTGTTTTCAATGTTTTGTTGAATAGTTCGTATTTTATTGTGCTTTCTTCTTTATTTTTTTTCTTGAGATTTGGAATGCTTTTTGATTTTAAAGTTATTCTTGTAAGTTTTAATATATTAAAACTGTTTCTTAATTTATTAACTTTAGGAAAACTTATTGAATCTCCACATCAAAAGATAAGCAATTAGCTCAATTAGTTACTAAGTGTACATAGTAATAATTTTTGTTAGTCTCACCTTCCAATATATCATATTAGTATTTTGGTTGATTTTATGATTACTTATAACTTTCATCTTTAAAACTGATTTGACAGAAGGAGATAGTATCATATTGAGGTCTCACCTGGAAAATGATTGTACATTCACTTCATGTGTTTCCCTTTCTCTTACTCTCTCTCCCAGTCTTCTTGTATCATATGAACTGACAAGTGATAATAATAGTACCCACATTTCTTCATCATTAGTTCTTTTACATAAATTGAATCACTGCTCACCATCATTACATTCTATTTCAAGTGCTCTATTGCTGATCTTTATTTTGATTCATCTCTATCAAGTCAGATATTGTGATTAAAGTGGTTGGATATCGTTCTCAAAAGTGTTCATAAGGATTGCATAGCCTGGGCTCTATGAAATATCTGTCTGTGACCTTAATTACTGAAAGATAATTTAAAGGGGAATAAAATATTTTGGCCACCTTTTATTTCCCTCAGCTATCCACTGTTTATTATTTTTTAATCTCTAATGGGTTATTGTGATTAGGTTTCTTTTATCCATGAAATCAAATATTTATTCAGGATAATTTATAACAACAAATTCCAAATTATAAAAAGTCAACTGTAGCGTATACTGTCAGTGACCCAGCTACATCTTTTCCCACTCACTGTTCCAGTACATGTCTCAGGTTTTCATTGCAAGTACCTGCAACTATCCTCCCAAGATCCATGCATGGGGAATGTGGGGTAGAACTGTGAGGGAGTTATGCCTGGAAGCCAGCCATAGGATTGTTTCTTTATACTCAAAGTCTAGTAACTGCTCTAGGATATATATGCTGTTGGTTGATCCATATCATTTTTTTCCTAAGACAGAATATATAATTCTAATATACAAATTCAGGTCTTTATTATTTCAGTGTTTCATATACCTTATTCACAGACTTTATGTTCTTTTCCTCAGAAATATGAGATAGATATGAATATGCACATGTATACACTCATATATGTATCTATAGAATTTAGTTTCTCTATATCTTATTTTATATCTAAACATTTATTTTTCCCCATGTAATTATTCTCTTATTTCTTTAAGTTGGACTTTCATAGCCCTAGTTGTGTTTTCTATGTTGTCCCCATTGTGTTTCTTTTCATATATCTTTTATTACAAAATGGTTTTATCTTCAACTTCCATTTCTATTTTTAGCATTATTAACTTGCTTTTAATTTTTTCCTGCCTTTTTTTTTTTTTTTTTTTTTTTTTGCTTTTTTCCTAGATGGTGTATATCTCTTCCCTGAATTCTTTAAAAAATACAGCAAAGACAGTTTTCTTCAGGCCACGATGGAGAAGGGGCTCTTCAAGACTCTCTACTCTCCTCTGTTGTTATTATAATCTGATACCTAAGCCCATGTTGGTCTCCTGATTATTATTCCCTGCTAAATGGGGGCAGCCCTCTTCAGTACAGCTATTTAGTCACAAATTATGTATAAAGGGGAAAGAGACTTGGTGAACTAGGGTGCTTCAATTTGAACATTTTCTCGTAAGTTCTGCTGTGACTTCTGACCCATTTGAATAACTCTACAGAGGGATCCAGGATTTTTCCGTTTTTTTGTTGAACAAAATATCCGCATGGTTCCTGGTAATGCTCAATACAAAATGTCTGTGTGGTAATGAGCTTGCTCATACAAAGGAAATAATCTCAGATGGAAGAAGCATGGTGTGGTGGTTACAGACACAGACTTTAGGACCAGGTAGATTTCCTGGGTTAAATCTTAACTTCATCACTACTAAGCTACATGCTATTGAACAAGTGGCTTTTCCTCTCTGAGCTTCTCATCAGTATCTACCTTACAGACTTTTTTTGTTGTTGTTGAATGTCAATAACATAATGTGATTAGAGTACTCAGTACATAGTAAGCACTCAGAGTTACCTAAGACTATTATTGTGAGACAGTGCACCGAAGTGGTGAAGATTTCAGGTTCCCTGAAGGCAGACTGCTTGGGTTCAGAGCCTACTTCTGCCACTTACTAGCTGAATGACACTGTGTGATTTACTTAATCTCTCTGAGCTGTGATTTTTTCATGTGCATGAAGAGTATAATATTAATACCTACTTCATGGAGTTTTGAGAAGGCTTGAGAACAGGATCTGGCATATAGTAGGAGTTCATTCACTTTATTGTTAATTGTTAACACTTTGCCCCATAGGAAAGCTTACTTTGACATACAGCCAAAGTATATTTTAATCTTTATCTACTCAAGAGCATAAAATAATGCCTGAACGTATATGCCTCAAGGTGTTTATGACTTGTGAGCATTTATTTAGCCCCATATTCAACATAGTAATAGCTTAGTGGATGCTTCTAAAATGAATACATGGATGAATAGAAGAAGTAATGAGACATTGGTACCAAGGCCTTCCTCTTTGTTTTTCAGTGTGGAAGAAAATATTGAGCTCAATTTAACAAGCTCTTCTATTTGTTGATCTTCACTCCTTTACCCTTTCTTTGCATTCCTTGGCTTTAGTCATCTTTTTCTTTTTATTTCAACAGTACAAGTTACCTACAAGAATATAGTATGAATTGATATAAATTTGAAGTCCTTTGAAATCCAATAGAAAGATTATCCTATCTTGCCTGAGACCAAGGCTCTAATTCAGCTTTAATACTGTTGAGGATTACTTTAATTATAGCGATCTAACTGGCCTAGATGGCTCATATGGCTCACAATGTTTATTTAAAACATTAGCTCAATATGGAGAACTTTTAGTTTTAGTTTTTCTACTTTATCTGACTCATCTTCATTTGTTTGCAGTCACTGAAAACCATGAAAGTTAATTTTCATCTATAAGTAGTAGACCTGCTTCATTTCTCCAGCTGCAATAGAATGACCAGTCTCACTGTATAATTTTTGTTTAATCAGTTTACACCAGTTATTATTTTTATTATTGTTTTTATTACTATTCACTGAGTGCTAAAAACCTATTCAATACTGTAAAGTACATAAATCAACTGTATTTCCTGCACTGGCAGCTGTTATACTTGATGCTTTTTCTGATACTGCAGAAAAAGAAAATTAAAAAATCATGTGAGAACACAATCGATGGAGGTCATCTAGGGTTAATACTGTTTCTTTTTTTTTTTTTTTTTTTTTTGACAGAGTTTCACTCTTGTTGCCCAGGCTGGAGTGCAATGGCATCCTCTTGGCTCACCACAATCTCCGCCTTCCGGGTTCAAACAATTCTCCTGCCTCAGCCTCCTGAGTAGCTGGGATTACAGGCATGCACCAGCATGCCCAGCTAATTTTGTATTTTTAATAGAGTTGGGGTTTCTCCATGTTGGTCAGGCTGGTCTCAAACTCCCAACCTCAGGTGATCCAACCTCCCTGGCCTCCCAAAATGCTGGGATTACAGGCGTGAGCCACCAAGCCCCGCCTACTATTTCATTCTTGATTCATTCATTAGTGTTATTACTAAGTTTCTTGTACTACATTAAGTTGTTTGAGAAATTTAAAAATGTAAAGGGCAGATTTCTTTCCTAGAAATATTTACAATTTAATTTAGAAGACCAAACATATGCATAAATATGACTAGGGAAAACTTACCAGGTATTATGTATTAGTCAGGAAATATGTATTGAGCTTCTACAAAATGCTAGGTATGAAGAGAGAAGCTCAGAATACAAAGATGGTTAAGAAATGGTCTCTGATTTTAAAAAGCAAAAAGTTTGATTAGGAATGAAATATCATATTGCTACCCCTAAAATCTGATTTTCATTGCAAAGTTACTATGTGTGCATTACTTTTGTACGTGCATTTCACATGTTAACAAACATAATTTTCACAATAATTCTATGGGGTACATATTAAAGTCATTATTATTTTACAGGTGATGAAACCAAGGCACAGAATGCTAAACTATCTTGCTCCAGGTCATCTAGTTGGTATATACAGACTAATGAAATCAGAGTGAAGGTGAGATATAGTGGGATAAGCACTAGGAAAACCTATTTAGAAAGAGCTAAAATTTCAGCAAAATCTCAAATGAATAAGAAAGAACTTTCAAATAGGAGAAAGGTCAGAAGTTAATGTACAGCACAGGCGTCAAGAGAAATGGAAAGTTTCAGGAATAAAGCGACAGAAGACTTGGTCCTGAACAAGATTTTATAGAAATCATGAATGAAATGCCTTTGAGAAGTCAGAAAGAAATGCTGAGTTAGACAAACTGAGTAAGATAACCTCCTCCATCCTCTGGAGTTTTCCCAGCTTATTTTGGAGAAAATTGAGTTGAATATCCCTTTAACATTTGAGAATTAACATGACACACCTAAAAGCTCTCTTGTTTTCTTAGTGTCCAATAGTGCTACAGAATCATTGTTCAGTTAGAACATTCTTTTCAGACCGTCACTCTTTATAATGTAGATAATACAAGAAAGAATACAGAATCAAGCCGTTATCTCTATTAACACTTAGTGCCCATTAACTCATTTGTGAGTTCATTGAATCACTTAAGTTATCAGATTAGTGACAGAATGCAAAGCAGGACAAGTGATTTTAATGGAAGTGAGAGCATTTTGCAGGATTCCTAAATCACGGGACACTAGAGAGGCATTGGGAACAAAAGGCCTTGAGGGTGAATCATACCAACTTTGCTAGTTTGCCTAGAACAGACCCAGACAAAGCTGTAAGGACAGATCTTTCAGTAATGCAAGTAATTAAATAATTAGTAGGGCAGAAAGTGAAAAAGGTGTATTTTCCCTCTTCAGTTTTTTTCCTTTCTTTCTTTCTCTCTTTCTTCCTTCCTTCCTTCTTTCCTTCCTTTCCTTCCTTCTCTCTTTCTTTCTCTTTCTTTGTTTCTTTGTTTCTTTCTCTCTCTCTTTCTTTCATCGTTTTGCAGTGGTATGCAGGAACAGCTAACAATTTATGAGGGCCAATAGTTAAATTTTCAAAAAATGTGAGAGCCAGTTTATAAACTCTTGTTTTATTGAAGTTTACTATGGTGAAAGTATTTACACCATGGAAATTGGCACATTTAACAAGTCAACCTTCTCCCATTCCCTTACCCCTCCACCACTACCCCCACATATACCTCCTTCATAGTAGAGTCGAAGCCCAGGAAGGAACTTTCCAAGACATGAGGTTCAACCAGCACACCATGTGCTTCAAATGAAAATCTTCCTTCATTGTGGAAAGAGAAAGTAGAGCTGCTCTATGAAGATGAAGAAAGCATATATTCCTTCCTTATCATTCCTTGGAATCAAATAAGGAAACACAAATAACTTGACTTAATATTTTTAGTTTCTTGCTTTTTTTAAGAACAAAAGATACCATGGAGCCTGTGATTTATAAAAAGAAGAATGTACGATATACAGAAAGGAGCAAAGGTGATTGGTAGTACCGTAGGAGACCAGTGGGGAGAGATTTTGAAAGTTTAGACTTTGAGGAGTGTTATTGATTCAATGGTTTATACAACAACAGTGACTGAGGCAATTTAAATTATATCTCCTTGCAAAATAGTTGCTTCTCCACTCTTCACTTTACCCCTTATTCTTCCAACTCTTATTCTTCCTTTGTTACTTTTTTTTTTTTTCTGAGATGGGGTTTCGCTCTTGTTGCCCAGGCTGGAGTGCAATGGAGCAATCTCGTCTCACAGCAACCTCTTGCCTCCCAGGTTCAAGCCATTCTCCTGTCTCAGCCTCCAGAGTAGCTGGGATTAGAAGCATGTGCCACCACCCCCCGGCTAATTTTGTATTTTTAGTAGAGACGGGGTTTCTCCATGTTGGTCAAGTGGGTCTCGAACTCCGGACCTCAGGTGATCCACCCGCCTCGGCCTCCCAAAGTGCTGGGATTACAGGCCCTAAGCCACCGCGCCCAGCCCCTCCTTTGTTACTGTTTTTTTTTTTTTTTTTTTTTTTTTTTGGAGCTGTTTTAGACTGGAGAATATCAGTGGGAAAGGAAAGGTTTATAAAAGACCTGTGAGAATAAAAGCAGAGTGTTGGCAGGGGAAAAGGTGGTGGTGGAAAAAATGCACCAAGACCTTCTAACATAGTATTAGTAAATAGCCTTGACATTTTCAACTTGAGAGGAATGAAGTCACTTAAGCAGATGGGGGGAAATAAAAGTTAGATGAAACTATAAAGTATTCCAGTTACAAAACTGAAAGAAACTATTAGTGGCACTTCTCCTCTCATTTAAACAGCATGAATAAGACTCATTCAAAAATAAATTCTTATCCTGCAAGCTGTTTGTGGAGTCAAGGAACCTATCTCATGCAGGTGTTCCATGTGTGAAATGCCAAAACAGATAATAGAAGCTCCAAACACACCATATTGGAGTTATAGGGAACCCTAAGCCCAAAGACACCATAAGAAAAATAAGAGGTTTTCTAAACAAAAGTATGTTTGTGCTTTAGTGCTGCTTAAAATGATTCCATTTGTTTTAATCAGTTATATTTTTTGTGCCATAAATTTCATATGTATACTAATTATACCAGTAAAATTTGGGTTTAACATTGCAAAGAGAGAACTTGTGGGCTCTGTGAGAAGATATAGCTTTTCCTAAAGGATACAAACTCAACTTCAGGTCATTACAAGTAAAATTTACTGTAGAAATTATTTGCAGAATAGCTTGAGGGCTTCATTTGGCATGCGCATGCATGCAGAGCTCCTGTAGAAGTTATGGAAACTTATAGCTCTATAAATGCCAGCTGTTGAAGGCAGGCTGCTCATAATCTGAGCTGAGGAGGAAAGAAAATGTAGATACAAAGGAGGAAAATAAATGTTTAGGAGCAAAGAGAAACAGCAGGCTACACACTTGGTGCACACAAGACTATGGGAAAAACAGGCTGGATATTTCTTGGGAGATAAGGGGGAAAAAGGAAGAACAGTGATTAAAAATGTCACTGCTGCCAAAGTAGGCTTGGAGGCCCAGGGAACTTCATTTGTATATTTGTCAGATCAATCTCAGTCATTGGTGGTTTTGCAACCATTGTTGTGTATATTATAAATACAATATACACATTTGTTAATACATATATATACATGTAAATAATATATGTATACAATATGTACATGTCTATGCACACAATAAATATATACCTATACACACAAGTAAATATATATGCATATATAAAATGGAACATAAATAGGATAGAAAAGACATGTAAAAACTGCCTTTGAGAAACTTGTAGTTTAATTGAGCATATAAGACATGATACACAGCGAATAATTGCACTATCATACATGTATTTCCCATTTGTTATTCAAACCACTTCAACTTTGGTCCTTCCCTACATGCCATTGAAACAGCTCTCCCTGAATTTGCAGCCAAAAATAATATACTTTTTAAAGTTCTCTTTAAAACCTTTAGCATTGCAACATTCAACTGATCTGCAACATTTAACCTTGACCCCTCTTCACATTTTGAAACTTTTCTTTTCTTAGCATTCAATTCACATTCTCTCTCGATTTCCTTTATCTCTCTGGACACATTCAGTCTCCTTCACGACCTTTTCATCCTTTGCTGGTCTGTTAAAAGGTGGTGTTCCCCCAGAAGTCTATTTCTGTAACTCTTCATCATCTGGGTGATTTCACCTGTATCCATGGTTTCACCATCACATAGATGTTGATGATTGAAATTCAGCCTAGAACTTGGTGTTTATATATAACCACCTACAAAATACCCCCTTGGCTATCTTATGCCACTTCAGGAGCATCACGTTCAAAATTGAATTTCTCATTTTTCAGAGCCTTCAATAAACATGCTCCTCTTCTTCCCTCTCTCAGTTGGTGACACCTCCATTCTCTTGAATCATACCCGACTCTATCTACTACCTTGTCATCCCCTACAACGAATCCCCAGGAAATTCTGTCAATTATAATTCCCAAATTACTTTTCCATCAAACATCTTTTCTTCATCAGGCTTCTTATTTTATAGTTTGCTTTTTCCAACAGCCTTATAAGTGATGTTCCTCTTTTCAAAATTCTCCAAATAATTTCTAGACTCATGTGTGTTAAATATGTCTGATTTTGATCCTCCTTTTGAAAATGCTTCAATTTCTTCTAATCATCTTGAGATAAAGCCCTAAATTTTTGAGTGTGGCATGATAAACCATTTTGTAACCTGTCCTCTGCCCACCTATGCAGCCCCATAACTCCACACTTCCTTTTGCCCCTTTAACAGGATAACTCTGGTTGTCTTCAGATTTTGGCTCATGTGCTACTTTTTGCAGGCAATTCTCTTTGAGGTTCTTCCAATATGTCCTCATACAGCACTTGAGGGTGGCCTCTACCACAGTGCTTGAGTCCAATGTATTATATTAATTGTTTTTTTTCTTCTTTATCTTTCCCACTGAGTTTGGGAGCATCTAGAAAACAAAGACTATTTCTCATTTGTCTTCGTGTCATTAATATGGGATAAAATCCAGTACATAGCAATGTCTAGTGAACAAATGTTTTGTTAATGACTGAATTCCTGGCTAAATGGTGCTAAGTCTGTTAGGAATTGCACTTGGATAAGGAAAATGAAATTTCCTCTTTCCCACCCCAGCAAAATCTTAGTGGATTAGACTAATATGTATTTTATTTCTCTTTCACGTAAAAGAAGTTCATGGATATTTATTATGCATTGGTGTGGCAGCCCCACAATTATCAGGTCCAGTATCTTTAGTCTTTCTCCTCCATGATTAGTACATGGTTTTCACACTCAAGGTCATTTTGTGATCCAGCATAGCTACTGGATTTCCTGCCTTCCTGTCTGTATTACAGACTAGAAGAAAGAGGAACCGGGGAGAGAGCAAAATACAGCAATGCTTATCTGTCTGAGTCAGGTCACTTTAAGGAACTCTATGAAAACTCAACATAGTCCTTATGCCTACTTCTTATTGATTGCCACTATCTGCCAGGCAAGTTGGAAAATACAATTATTTAGCTGGGCATATTTCCTCTTGGAATAAAATTAGCATCTGTTAGTACAGAAGGAAGAAAGTAGATTTTTAGTAGGTAAATTTTAATATTGACATGAGTGTCAAAATCAATTGTACCAGTGATCAATTCTATAGGAGTCCTGAAAATAACCAAATGGTTAAAGTGTCTTTGCAGAAAGGACAGGGACATGCCTGTAAATGAATTCTGAAGGATAGCAAAAAGATTTGAGTAGGCTTGAGCACAGAATTGGTTTTAGGAGCAGGAAAACACCATAAAGCTTAAAATTATAGATCAAAGATTGTAGGTTAGGGGTATTTATTTTTTGCTGTTGGTCTTTTCTCTGCCATATACTGGACTCCTTAAGAATAGAGACTGTAGCCTAATTATTTTATTTCTCCACTAGATTACTTAGCACCTGATTGATACCCAGTAAGTGCTCAGTGAATTACATTCCAGAAGTGATGTTGTGGATGGGCTAGAAAACATGTTTAAATAAATTTTTTGAACACATAGAACAAGTTGGACTTTTTTTTTCCATGCATGACTGGAGGCATTGAAAAATTTTAAGATGAATAATACAATAAAAATGATGTTTTCAGGGAACCAATTTCATGATAAAGGTGCTAGAAAGGGACATGAAGAATATTTCAGAAGTTCAGTTTGAATAAGTAAGAAATTTAAATAGAAGGGAAGCAAAAACAGGGAATGGTTCCAGAAATTATTTGATAGCAATTGTTATCCTTGTCCCCTGGTGTTACTTTTTCTCTTTCTCTGTTTTACTTTTCTGTCTATATATTATCACTTTCTCATATACTATAAAACATACTTAATTCTTAAAATACTCTGTTTTGGGGGCAATAAGATAGATTAGATACATACATACATATGAGAATTTTATTAGTTGAAAAACTGAGCTTATCTAGCCATTTTGCTATACTGCAGCTTGTAGGATGTAAGAGGAAACTGACCCAAAGTGAAATTCCTATAATGCTTCAACCAGAGTGAGAACAGCCTCAGGAATCCCATCTTTCCTAATACCTACCTCACAAAGGATGTACTCAGGAAGAGTTGGAAGCAGAGAGAAGAAAGAGAGAGTTAGGAGAAACATTCAATACAGCTACGCTTCTTCACACAGATCATCCTCAGAAGTCTACTTATTGAAAGTCAGTTGTGAATTGGTTTGTTGGATTACAATGCTGGTGAAATGTTAGAGAGTTAGAGAGACAGATCTGGAGATGAGAAATAAATTCACAGCTGGAAATACAGATTTAAAAATTATTATTGTTTATTAAAGTTGTGAAGTGGGAGCAGCTCTACAGGAAAGATAATGTACAGTGATATAAACAAAAGGCAAAACAATAGCTACTAAAGATGGGATTTCAGATGATAATGATCAATGATGTTTGCAACCATAAAACATTCTGCCTTAGGAAGAAATGTATCTTGAAGCAAAGCTTAACGTGCAGACTTTTCCTCTTCCTCTCCTCTCCTATAGTCAGAGGAAGCAGGTGCTATTAAGCCAGGACAGACTCTAGGTCTGCCTCTGTTTACATTTGACCCCAGACTCTAGTTCGGGTGTGGGAACGAGATGAGGCTTTTATTTTATTTTCAATATGTGGGTCCAAGTTGCTTTTTATATTGTGTATGTGTATTACCTTTCTTAAATGAACTAAATGTAAAACCATAGAAAAGGCAATGTTGATTATGTAGCCCTGACTACTGCCATATGAAGTTTTTAGATACCTAAAGCAGTGGGTTTTTGAGATATTACCTTGCAGCAAGCAGACTTCTGAGGATGATCTGAGTGAGGGAGCGTGGCTCTATTGAATCTGTTTCTCTTAACCCTCTTTCCTCTCTCTGCTTCTGGAACATCCTTGTTTCCCAGATTTTCCCACATTTAATTCCGATTTAAGAAAAAGTCATTCTCTCATTATCTGGTAAAGTAGCCAGGCATAGGAACTCTGAAAGCAAGTTCTGGCAGAGCTTTATTTGCTTTCTGCCTCTGTTTACATTTGACCCCAGTTTTATCTGCAGAAATTATTTATGAACCTCTTTTTTCCCCTTCTTGCTTGTGAAGCAGCTCTTGGGTCTGCAAGCCATAGAGTAGTGTGCTCATCATGCATATATTTAGCACCCTAATCTCTGCAACCAGTTTTAGCTGCTTGTTATATTTTTCTTGACATTTTCTTGTATGCTTTTTGACATCTGCTTGCAAACTTCTGCAGCCTTTTCAATCCTGATATTCACTTGTTTCATCTGATGTTGTTATCATTCTCCTTAGATATGCAGATGTGTTGCTTTCCTTCAAGTCTTGTCCCTTCAGTCTTTCTGGAAAGACTGTTCCAGAGACCTACTCACATTGCTTGCTTGTTTGTTTCTCTGCTAGTTTATTGTTATACTATTTTCTGCCTCAGACCTCTAGTATTTGACAAATGGTATCATACTCTGCCGTTGAGAATCTTATGCCTTCAGTTCACTTTTTAATACAATCTGCTTAAAAAAAGCCACCACCACAACAAAACTGTGCAATGGATAGTATTTCAAAGATGATAATATTTGACATCAGCTTTCCTAACTGTTCTGACAATATTCATTGCAAAACTCTATTTCACAAAAGAACTCAAAAGGTCTCATGAAATGAACACTTGTCAGAAATGATTTTATAAACCTAAGTAATTAGCAACCTAAGGTGCTGTCTCATCAGATGGCATCACTTTGTGTCAACAGTCATTCTTTCTGATCATCAAAGCCAAATTAATCTTTTATTTGCCTCTAATATTGTGTAGATCTACAACATTATCTGACTATTTGGTAATGAACCCTCAGTACAGGGCTTTCTTCAGATTTCTGAATATTTCAAAAGGCAGAATCTTTTGTTTCTCTGGAAATATACCACACTTGTAAAGCAATTTATATCTCTGGAAAAGATTCCTGCAGGGATGCAAGCACTCAGCACCCATGATTTCAGGTAAGCCAAAACAGGTGTTTAGATCCTGAAATTTTCCCATAGTGCCTCAAAGATCCATTAAAGTGTAGATCTAATGCTGTATTTCTAATTTCTGGAACACAACCTCGCTTGTTTCTATATTCCAATTATCAGAAGACATTTGGGTAGTAGTTAATTGGTAAAAATCTGTCAGTGTGGAAAGTGAAGCAGTAAGGAGCTCAGTTTTCATCAATTCTGAATGGTGCAATGTCTCACACATAATATTTAAGTCAAAAGCTTAACCTCCCTTGTATATTTAATGCAAGATAAATTACCAACACAGCATTTTCAAGTATTTAGGTAACTCTATATTTGGACTGAATTTGACTAGCAGCAACATATTTCTTCTAGCAACATTAATTTAAAAATTAGCTTTGTACATGAGGCTGTTTCTACTCAAGTCACTAATAATAATTAACACACAGTATTTCACAGTATTTGATTTTATATTATTAGACAGTTTATTATAGGAATTGCATTTATGAGAGATTCAAAAATTGTAAATGACTCAACTCTAAAAAAATACTCTTCTGTAACAGATAATAAAATCACTCTTAAGAAAAGTTAATAACATCTTTCTTATTCATAAGACTTTGGACGTTTTCTTTATCATCTTGGAGAAAAACACAAAGAAAAGAAAAAGCATAGCTTTCTGGAAAAAAAGTGATGCTTCCTTGGCTCTTTAAACATAGAGCTAAGTACATGAGTTATTGAGGTGAAATAAGTTGCTTTCAACAGTTGTTAATATATCATTAATAATCATACATGCAATAAATAACAACATATGAGTTATTTCCTAAGAGATATATGACTGCAAATTGCAGTAACACATCACAGCATGTGTAAAGAATGCTCATTACTCTAGTGTGTACAGAAGCTGTTTTAACAACTGTATTCTTTATGGTGAAGCTCACCCTAATTAGCCTTGCAGATTCCTTAGGGAATGTGTGGAATGTTTGACATTGTGATGCTGGAGCTAAAGTGGGGGAGGAGTATATCATTTCTGCACCAAGAAAGCACCAGGCCACAAGCCTGGCTTTCTATTCAGTCACTTGTTTTAATGTATGCATTGTGGTGAAAATAAATAGGCTTTTCAAACAAGTAGATAATAAAGGTGTTTGGAATTAAATGACTAATGAAATCAACATTAAACACGTAAGCTAGACGGCAATGTGGACTAACAATTTTTTTTTCTCGATGGTGTCCCTTCCAATATAGGAGGCATGTAAACGAATTGCACGTCTATATGTGTTTGAACACCAAGATTCGTAGCCACAAATGTAAGAGGAACACAATTTGTAGTCTCTATTGTATTCGAAAGCTAAATGGACCACATATTTTTTAATATAAAAAGAAAAAAAACAAGGATGAAGGACACAAAAAAGCAGCACTTTTTTTTTCCTTTCAATGGAACATTATATGTGGATTCTGCTGCTCTGTTAGCTTATAGCTTGTTACTAAATCAGACCTTTCCTGCAGTGAAAAAAATTGCATCTTTTCGTTGTAATCCTTGACAGCTTAAAGTTTAATGGAGGCAGTTTTTTTTTTAAAGGTATATAATGGGTTGACACCATGGAAGGCTGCTGAGAGCTCACAAACTCAGAAATAGCATGAAATGCAATAAGAACAAGTTCTTGCTGATTTTTTTTAAATCATAATTTTTCTATTCCTGATAGAGAAAGCAAGAAAAAGAAGGAGTTAGCTTTTTGTTTTCTTCAAGTAAGTTGTTTGTCTCATCCCAATGAAGTGATGTTCTTCTATTCTGGAATAGAGTCAAATGGGGATTTGTTCCAAAGGTAAGAATAAGGTGATATAGCCATTAATAGGGAGAAAATAGATATCTACCTAAAAATAACAGTATGGCCAGGCGGGGTGGCTCATGCCTGTAATCTCAGTACTTTGGGAGGCCGAGGCGGCTGGATCACGAGGTCAGAAGTTCGAGACCAGCCTGACAAACATGGTGACACCCCATTTCTACTAAAAATACAAAAAATTAGCCAGGTGTGGTGGCAGGCGCCTGTAATCCCAGCTACTTGGGAGGCTGAGGCAGGAGAATTGCTTGAACCCAAGACGGGGAGGTTGCAGTGAGCCGAGATCATGGCACTGCACTCCAGCCCGGGCAACAGAGTGAGACTCTGTCTTAAAAAAAGAAAAAAAAAAAAGTAACAGTATGCGGAACACAAGTTGCCAAGATGAGAACTCAATGAAAGGAAGAAATTTCTCCTCTTTTGGAGGGAAGAAGCAGACAAGAGTAAACCATAACTGGCTGAGACTATCACCTTATTTGACACCCAGAGGTCATGCTTAGTTATACCTCAATCTAAAGATTCTGGGATACGATCTCCAGATAACACATGTTCAGGAGTGTTGCTGAGGAGTGTTCAAAGACTATAAGATTTAAAACAACCTTGACAGTTGGCATCAAGATTCCTCTTGGGGAGAGATAAAACTTTGGCTTATCTTGATTTGTTTTTTCTTAGTTTATGGTAATACTTTGATAAATGTTTTCAAATGGTAATGTAGCCTGAGGTTTTAAGTCAAACTTTAAGGGAATGTGATTAATAGAGCTAAAAAACACAAAAAGATGGCCTATCTACCATACTAATAAGTGAATAGGAATATGAGGGGCTGAAAAAAAAGGATCATAGAGGAAGGAAAGGAGAAAGAGAATGGTTCAAAAATACAACATGCCACAAAACTTCTCTTCTTTTACTAACAAAGCTATTTACTATTTAGTTTTCTTTGGATGGTTACAATACAAAGACTGCTTCTCTACAACATTCAGTAAAATCTGCCACATTCACACAAAACACCTTGCATAGGTAGTATTTTATGGAAAATAAAGAAAGGGAAAAATGGAAGTGATCCTTCAACAAATTGACATGAAACAAAGAGAAGGAAACATCCATGGAGGTGAAGGATAATAGCATAGAGTATTAAGCAAGCAATAACTGAAGTGAGAAGTAGCTAGGAAGGTAGAGAAATATCCAGGGATGGGAAGGGATTGAGCCAATGCCTAGGTGATAGACATCATCAATACTCTCTGTTCTATGCCTACATACTGGCTCATGTCTGTAATCCCAGCACTTTGGGAGGCTGAGGCAGGAGGATCTCTTGAGTTCAGGAGTGGAGAAGAGCCTGGACAACATGGCAAGACATCGTCTCTACCCAAAATTTTTTTGAAAAATTAGCCAGGTGTGCTGGTGCATGCCTCTAATCCCAGCTACTGGGGAGGCTGAGGTGGGAGGATCATTTGAGCCTAGGAGATTCGGGTGGCAATGAACTATGATCACACCACTGCACTCCATCCTGGGTGACAGAGTGAGACCCTGTCTCTCAAAAAAAAAAAAAAGTTTCATCCACAATAAACACAAATCCCTCATAGGTCAGATTTTCTTGAGGAGACCAGATTTACATGGTCTATTTTCTTCCTAAGCCAGGATCATAGAGAAAATGGCCTTGAAGAATAATGCAGGTAGGTGGTGATATTCTGTGATTGGTAGTGGATGAATTCTAATGGAGTTTCTTCTCTGACTATATACCCAGGACCATAATGTGCTCATGTCCAGTTGAAAATTAAACTTGGCTCATTCAAACTTGGGGCCAGATTCTCAGCATTTGAGTATTTACAATGAGACAATTATTTGTAACCACAAAGGCACCATATAGATATACTTAATTACTTTTAATTAGGAACCCATTCAACCAGAAGAAATTTGTTTTCGGCGTGCTTACTTTACACTTCATTTGGAGAAAAGTAATTACTTTCTTCTGAAAGTCTTTTACATTGTTCCATTGTACTTTTTTAGATCTTTTTCAGGATCCCATTAAACTTCAGTGCACATGTGAGTCCCTATGTGGCAGGGAAATTCATGGCCATGAAATTCTGATAATATTAATTGATTTTTAATGTTGGTTTTGAGAACAAATTATAATGTTAGCTCTCAGGTTAAGTGATTGCTCCCTACAGAACAGTTTGGATTTGGCTCAATTGTTGAAATAAGCAGATTTAAAATATTATTCATTATATAATTTATTTTAAAAATAAGCTAGAAAAGGCAAATGGGAAAACTAAAATTTGTAATTGAAGGTAATCTTTGAATGTATCATCAGAAAAATTTCTAATAGTATACTTCCAGTATTTTTAAAGAATTGTAATAAATTTACTTAATAAATTATTACTAAAACTTATTGTGAAACAAACAGATCGTAGATACATAGTAGGTACCTATGGTTGTAGGTCTTTATTACCAAAAATTTGAATTTTTGAATCAAAATCATGTTTTTACTATATGTTTTCAAAGTACCTATGATGAAGTCTGGATGTGTTAAAGTTTGGGAATACCCTCCCATGTATATTTTTAAAATGTATCGGTAGATGTAAGTCAAGTGCTAAACTAAATTTTGATTTTGGATTTATGCTATTCAATGCTTTTCTGCATCTGCATTGAAGGCTGAAATTGTGCACTTAAAAATATAGCTCAGTATATCTTAAAATAATCATGAAATGAAAAAATTTTGAGAGATCCCTGGACTTCTAATTTATGATATGCAAATATAAATTGATAGATCACAAAAATGTATTGAGCACCTACAGAGTTTGAAGTAGTATTTAGTATTGAGTATGATAGAATGTTTAAAAAGGCATGGATTTCTAAGTTAAATAATTTATAGTCCCATAGAATAAATCACACAATTAAGTGTATTGTACTATAAGGCCGGAGGTAAGAGAATTAAGAGAGTAGTATATCAGGCAAGAAAGATTACTTCCAGTTCCTGTGAAGACTTCCTACAGTTGTGCTAGACCCTAAAAGATACACTTTGGCTGTGGAGAGAGGTGATAAAAGGCTTTAGTGGTATCTAGAGCAATATAGAGAAAGGCAAGCAGGTACAAATCATGGTGAATCTATAGGGAAAAGTAGGTCCTTCAAGTGCGTGAGGATGTTGAACCCTTGATGGGAAGTAATGGGCAACAACATAAGGATAATGTGTCAAGGGACAAGTGCTCAGGTGATAAATTTCAGCCATATTTGGTAGGAAATAGAGCTCCTGCAAGTTTATAAGGAGAGGAATCATTGTCCAAGTCATACCTTAGAAAGATTAATTTGGAAGTTGTGTGTAGGAAGTGGACATGAGGTGGTTTAGTTATGAAGGATTTTTTTTGTTGCACAACTAGTGGCAAAGATCCTATTCCACTTTTGTGTAATTTATTTTCATGTGATTACTTATATAGCTGTATTAGTCTATTCTCATACTGCTATGCAGAAATACCTGAGACTGGATAATTTAGAAAGAAGAGGCTTAATTTCCTTGTGGTTCTGCAGGCTGCACAGGAAGTATAGTGGCTTCTGCTTCTGGGGAGGCCTCAGGAAACTTACAGTCATAGCAGAACGTGAAGGGAAAACAGGCACATCTTACATGGCCAGAGCAGGAGGAAGAGAGGTGTGTAGGGGGGTGCCACACATTTTTAAACAACAAAATCTCATGAGAGCTCACTATCACATGGACAGTACCAAGGGGGAAATCTGCCCCGATGATTCAATCACCTCCCACCAGGCTCCACTCCAACACTCCAACACTGGTGATACAATTCAACAGGAGATTGGGGCAGGGACACAGATCCAAACTGTATCAATAGTCAAGAACTAATGTTTATTCAACCAATTTGTTACTTTTAAAAAGCACTCCCTTTTTGGTATGGGTTGCCTTCCACCAGCATGAAAACAACTGATTCGAAAGCAAGCCCCTTAAAAAAAAACTTGTTAGTACTATTTAAAGCATATCATATTTAGTGAGAGATAATAGACATGATTAAAATAAGACACTGAAGCCCCCATTTCTTGGGGGTGTGCAAGTATCAGTGATTGTGCTAAGCACATTGTGTGAATTACCATATTTACTCTTCAAAACCACCTCTGAGACAAACATGTTATTATTTCGATTTTGTGGATTTGAAATTCCAAGGTTTAGAGAGGGAAGGTAAGAGAGACCAGATTACAACTCAAAGTAGCATAGTAATAGAAATCCATGGGTATATACTAAATAGGAACCACTAATGAAATAATTAATATAGGCAAAATAATTTAAATGCAAGATGCAGGTAACAATTAATACCAATGATTTATTGAGCACCAGCTCTGCCAGTGTGGTAACTGGGCTGCAGATGTCATCTCCAGACTGTTAAATTAGACTTGAATATCATCATCACATCTGCAATATTACCATGAATAAAAAAACATAGGGCTGTTTTCAGGGGGAAATGGATAAGTAGGAAGTCTTCCACTTGGTGTTGCTTTAGTCGGGCCTTTAGTATGTTTTATTTTGAGGGCAAAATAGAAGTGGAGGATTGTGAATTTGGAGAGGGTTTTCAGAAGAGGAATCAAATGATGAAGATGGCAGGAAATATTTCCTATGAGAAGCAATAGGACTGTGAGTCAGCATTAATGTAGTCAAGTGCTGCTGTTATTACTTGTTGACTGTGTGACTGTAGGCACATTATTTATCCCTTTAAATTTCAATTTTACATCTGTAAAAGGAGGACACTCTTAGAGGTCTCTCAGATTAAATGTAAAAGTTAATGAAGGATGAGTATTGCCCTAGGCATAATTGAGGTGGGAAGGGGTTTTGTTCTTGTTGAGGGAATGACCTGTAAAAGAAATCAGAGGAAAGGGCAGATATGGAGCATTCAGGGAGCTGCAAGTACTGCAGGAGCGAGTAGTGCATGTTAGAGAGGGTTGAGAAGTGAAGATGAAGAGTTAGCACGTAAGGAAGATATTAGGAGAGGCCATATGAAATAGTGGCTGTAAGAATGTGCTCAGGAACCACATTTTCTAGATTCAAATTCTCCTTCACTCTTTATTTGTTTAGTGATGTTGGGCAAGTTACTGAATATTTATTTAACTTCATTTCTGTATTTGTAAAATGGGTACAATAACATTACTACTTCACAGCACTAGTATGATGATTAAACAAATTAGTCCTGTTGAAAGAAGAGGCCATCAGGCCACATCTAAAAAAAAAAATGAAGTTATTGCTTGGTAATCAAAGAAGAATGAGTTTTATAAAATATAGTCTCCCTGAGCAAATAATGAGGGCTTCCAGGAAGTATGGATCTCAGAGATTGGCAAATTTACAGAAGCTAGAGTGTTTGGGATGAGTGTTAGCCATGGAAGGGTGAATACTGCAGTGTGGCTTTTGATGCTTGGTTGATTCTTGGAAACATGGTCACTGAAATGACGTGGCTATATTTATTGCTTTTCATTAGCATTAGCATGGTTACTGATGTAAAATTGACAGGTTAGGATGGACTTAAAACTGACTCTAGTGGATACTTGTTATTATGACTAAAGTGCAATTAGCCTTCTTTCTTGAATATAGAAGCATTTTATACTGTACTCATTTTAAGTACTTAGAGGAGTGGCTTCACATAAATGTTAATTATTATTAATATTTCTCTTTATTATTAGACTGGATTGAGAACTTTTTTCATATAATTATTTTAAAAATTGTTTTATTCTTAAAGCAATTGATATTATCTACTAAAAAATTTTTAGTAGTGAAATGACATGTTTACATTGTCTTTAGAAAAATACTTCTAGCAATGTGAAGTTCAATGAGAAAGATATACACATAAATATTGTATTTTGTTTCTCTTGGTTTATGTGTATCAGGAGTGGTGTATTTTCCTTTGAGTCATAGTGGTAAAAAATGAGTAAAAGGAAAAGAAATAAAAGTTACTTTATATAGCCTTGTGGCAAAAACACCTCCCTCATCGATTTTTACCAATAAAAATAACTCGTTTTAGAAGTTCCAAGGGATTTTCACATTCAAGGAGTAAAAGGGAAATCAACTTAATGTTCTAGTCTAAATTAAATGAAAATTCATCATACAAATTATTGTTGAATTTGAAACAGGTGTTTCCCTCCTACTTAGGAAGGTAAGAAAAGAGAAAATTGCCACAGATTTGTTATTGATGTAAAGTGTTCTTAAAGTCAGGTAAAAGTTAATTCTCAGAGATATCCTTCTAAATTTTTATCTGAGGATGTTCTCTTTAATAAAGAGAATTTATAGAACATCAGAAGGAAAGAAACAACAAAGAAATAGATGTGTCATGTATAACATTAGAGTCTGCAAAATGATTGGGGAAATAATCAAGGAACTGAGATGCTACTGGCTCCAAAAAGAAAAAATCTTGATGTATTAGTTGGTGCCACCCAAATAATGATGTCTCTATTGTCTGTGCAATTTCGGAAATACTCAGTTCCACCCTGAAAAGAAATACAGAGATTGAAAATCCAGGACAAGTGAGGGGAGATTTCTCAGAAGCTCTCGTTCCGCTGCTTGAGAGGGGGAGCAATGAAAGAAAAATATTACACATGAATCCTTTGGTAGGAATCTGTCTTCACAAAACTCAGCTGTTTTCATACAACCGTAAGAACACTCATAAGGTTTGAATAAAAGCAGACTTTCTTCTTTTATACTGACCTCACTTAGAAGAGATTCAAGGGATTAGAGTATTCTTAAAAATCTCACATTGACCCTTATAATAACACAGTTTGAACCATAATTCTCTACAAAACAATCCTTAGCATATAACTTTATTTGCTTGCTCTATTCCACTTCCGTAAGCATGAGGATGCATGGCATCCCCAGTGTTCTCATGATAGGGCAAAGAAAGCGCAATCTGAGGAGAAGCATGGCATTGAAATGAAACACTTAAATTCCAAGTCTGACTGCAAAAACTCATGCTGGGTTCAGTAAATGAAGTTTTCAAAAGTCAAATAAATAGTGTAGTTGCTGCATAATTTCTCCCTTCCCTACACATATCATGCTTATTTACATTCATGTGCCCATTCTAAGTCCACCCTGATGTAAGTCCTAACAAAAAGCAACCATGACCTAGCTGTCTGCCAAGGAAAATAAAATTTAAATGGAATTACTGGAGTATTGGTTTGGTGTATTTTTATATTGAAACATGATAAAATTTGGGCTGGCACTGTACCTTTGAACACTAGCAATATACTCCAATAGACTCCTATGGGTCTATATTGTGGGAACAAATAGTATTGAAACTAAGAAATTATAGGTGCCTTGTTTTGAATCTTCTATAACCAACACCTTTTCATTGGGTCTAAGACAGATCTATTATTTCAAAAATTCTACTTGAGAAGATGAGTAATTTTAACATTCAGCAATGTGCTAAATGCACTGTTTGACATATAGTGAAACAGTCAATAAATATTACAGTAGCATAGCATCAGTGTAGGCAAGAGGTTAAGACAAAAGATAGAATTGAAAGTCTTTAATATGCCTCCAGGACTGACCCCTACTTATCTCTCCAGCATCCTGCATTACCAACCTCTCTCATTCAAACTTGAAATTCCAGCCATAGCGAATACTTTCCATTCCCAGAAAGAGTCTATTCAGAAGACACCCTCTCTTCTTCCCCTAGTTATCTTCTGTGCATTCCATTCATTCTCAAATTAGTTACCTTGACAAATCATTCCTGATGCACTTGCCACCATCTCCCAAAGTTACATGGCTCTCCAGTAGATTATGATGACCCTATAATTTTCTTATCATAAAGTTTATTTCACAGTTAACAGTTTCCATATTACATAACTATTTTCCCCATGAGGCCATAACCCTCTGAATAACAGGAACACTAACCTTCTCATTCACCCCTGCATGATAGGCTTTAGTCACGTGCCTGGCACACAGTAGGTACCCTAAATATTTGTGGATTGAATAAAGGCTTATACTTGAACCATATGTAAGTTGATCTAGTGTTTTACAAATGGAATCTCTGAGTTAACTATTGCCTCAATACCATGTCTATAGGTCACTTGAGTTTTGGCATTGTTTTTAGTACAATAGTTCAAGAAGACCGAGAGTGAAGAGGTTCCATTTTCCTTCTGATAATCCCAATTGGATTATTTCAGGTAAATCCTGAGGCAGCCAACTGTTTATAGTATATTCATTTTGATGTTAGATTCCCAGTTTGTCAAACTTCTTTATAATATTATTCATCATTACAACTGTAAGTTACAACTATACCTCTGGTGAAACTGTGTCCCCTGAAACCATGATCACAAACCATGAGACAGTTTTATAACCCATATTGAAATATCAGACTTGTTATTTCATGATCAGAGTAATATGAGTATTAGCACTATTTCCATCATGAGACTTTTACAGAGATCTCATATAATGAAGTTCCAAAATATCTTTCATAGGAACTAGTAAAAAAAGTTTGGTTTTCTATGATGTCTAGTCAATTAAATCTGTTAACTCACTTCATAAGTCCTATGTCACTCAGTAATGTCTCTGTACCTGGATAAAGTTTGGAAACCATAGCTTGAGACCAAAGTTTATACTTTATTTCAATTTGAGGAAATATGACCTTGTCTGGAAATACATAATTTTCAAAAGTACAAATATGGAATTGCTTTATTCACTGATATTCTGGAAGGAATAATGATTTTTTTAAAGCATGTGGGTTTTTTTTAAGTAGATGATAATGAATGTAAATCATTCTACAAAACAATGTGAGCTTATTTTCACATTTGTTTGGGATTAAACCGCATCCATAAACTGCTTCCACATGTATGCTAATTAACTCTGCAGCAGAACCAACTTCCCTACTTGGAGGATTAGAGACAAAAGCTTTATGAAATCCTACCTTTCCAGTTTAACGTTTATTAGCATATTTCTGGTCACCAAGGTTCAGTTATGAGTAAATCTACTTTGGGATTTCTTTTGGCTCAGGGCATTGGTAATAGAGATGGAATCTTTCCCTCATAGATGAAAAGATTGAATACAAACCAGCCTGATGTAGACCTATTGTTATTATTATTTGATAGCTGTCAGTAGCGGATATAAAATGAATTAATGGTTTTCTAGCAAAAAAATCTTAAGATTGATAAAAGTCACTTTTGCATCCAGGCAGCAGTGCTAGCAACTCCAGAATGCCAGAGATTGAGTGGGAATTTAACAACATACACAACCCTAGGACTGGAAATTTTAGGTCAGACATTAGCAATATCATTCTGATGACTTCAGGAGGTTGTAATGTGCCTAAGGTCCATCTGGAAGGACCTTTGTATTTGATGCTTATTAGCTGAAAAAGAGTAAAATGAAAATAACGGTGCTTTTTGTGAGTGTGTGTATGTGTGTGTATAAGAGAGATATATAGAGACCATAATTTAAATATAAGTACATTACCACAAATAATCAGAGAAATTGATTCTAATATTTATTATAAGAATGTTCTTCATTTGCTCATTATATTAGCACTTTGTTTCATTTTGTTTTGGTGTAGATACGTAAATAAAAATTTTAAGAATTTCAAGAGTACCCATTTCTACATTGATTGAAATATAAGTCAAATGCCTCTAAATAGGAGTTTCTTCCATAGTTTCCATATTTGTATAATTTTTATGATGATTTAGGTAATAGTTATGAGAAAATAATGACAGTGATAATACTAATTTATGCCTTTCAGGTTTCTCAGGCTAACATAAAATCTCAGAACTCTCATTGTTTCATTCTTTCATTTATACTTGCTGAATAAACATATAATGTTCTGAACAACAACTCTGCACCAGATACCATGCAAGTACTGGTTATACACAGGCATATGCATAAATAAAAGGGATGCGTTACTTTATCTTACAGAGCTTTCAGCATTATATATATATATTTTTTTCTTTCCATATATATGATGTGTGTGTGTAATTAAAAATTGTGAACAATTTTGTGAAAGATATTTAAAAGGGTCTATGAAAGATAATTAAGAGAGATTTACCTGATTTAGAGTAGACCAGGCAAGGCCTCTTTGAGCATTTGCACCATTGAGCTTGATTGCTTCACTATGTTAATAACATTTGCTTGGCTTAAATGAATATCTAGCCAATAAGAGGGAATAATGTTTTGTCTTCAAATGTGCACACTCTGAGTCGCTTTGGAGTGTTTCTTTCTGCAATATATTGGTCATTGGCTCCTAAAATAATTGAATCAGAGAATCCTCTGAGTGAAACAAATGAAGAAGACTAGCTGTCTAGAGCAACTAGTTTTTCATGTTGCCCCGCCCGCCCCTTACCCCAGCCATCAAACATCCCCTATATAAACACACTCTCATTAGCTTCCTCATGCTCATTAGAGACATAGAAATATTGTGAGATAATCTTCCAGTTAACCTACTAGAGCCACAGAATAATTTTAAAATGAAATTTAAGATCCAAATATATACTTCCAAGCTTCCTTTTTGTTTTGCTAAATTGATGTTAATGAGAGAAATGAGTTAATATTAGACTAGTTGATATTCTGTTCCAGTACACAATTATTCTAAAAATTATTTCTTCTTTGTGTACAAAGGAAACTACTACTTGTACATTAGAATATTTCATTGTGTCAATTATACATTTTGAAGGCAAAAAATAAATTGGAGAATTGAGCATTTATGGATTGGAATAGCCTAAAGGAAAATGATTTTTTATTTTAACTCATTTTAACTAAAATTTCTTTCCTTTTTTTTTCTTTTGTGGTGTTAAAAGAATCTTCCAGGCCAAGCGTGGTGGCTCACACCTGTAATCCCAGCACTTTGGGAGGCCAAGGTGGGTGGATCACCTGAGGTCAGGAGTTTGAGACAAGCCTTCAACAAGGCCAACATGTTGAAGCCCTGTCTCTGCTAAAAATACAATAATTAGCCAGGTGTGGTGGTGGACACCTGTAATCCCAGCTACTTGGGAGGTTGAGACAGGAGAATTGCTTGAACCCAGGAGGTGGAGGTTGCAGTGAGCCGAGATCATGCCACTGCACTCCAGCCTGGGCAACAGAGTTGGACTCTGTCAGAAACAAAAAGAAGGAAAGAAGGAAAGAAGGAAGGAAAGAAGGAAGGAAGGAAGGAGGGAGGGAGGGAGGGAAGGAAGGAAGGAAGGAAGGAAGGCAGGAGGGAAGGAAGGAAGGGAGGGAAAGAAGGAGAAAGAGGGAAAGAAGGAAAGAAGCAAGCAAGCAAACAAGCAAGAAAGAGAAAGAAAGAAAGAAAAAGAAAGAAAGACAGGAAGGAAGGAAATAATCTTCAAATTATAGCTTCATCAGTTTGCTGGGCTATTTCTTGTCTTTACACTGCAGAAAATTGGGAAGTTAGTATCTACAATATTGCTGTGTTTCGATATTTTGGATTCAGCTGAATTTAATTCTTGTGTGTTTCTCCATTATGCTAAATTATATATACCTATAAAACCAATATGATAAAAGAAAAAAATCTGAGTCATAATTGCTATCATCCACACCAGAAAGAAAAGACATTTATCTTATCTGATCATAGGATCAACTGAAATAGGTCTGAAAGGGTCTGAAGCTGCTGACAAAACCACAACACTGGTCCCAATTAACAATACCCATTTTTAATTAACAGTCGCTGACTTTTTGCCATTGAAATATTCATGCTCTAGGTGTGAAATGGCAACCCCCATTTGTCATATCTGTCAAAATTAATTTGAAATCCCATGGTCTTCCTTCCACATAGTAAAATTGAATAACTAGAACATACTTCCTACCTACCAAAGTTTAGTTCCAGGACAAGGACCAGGAAACTAGAACCTAGAAAACTGGTTGGGTCAGCTTTAATCATACAACTCATATCAATTATTTTCATAACATTTCTAATGCTACAAACTATACCAAGACTTATTCCATATTTTGGGGGAGGGGATGAGAAGCATTTGGAAGTTCTTTTCCTTAATTCCTTTTCATTTTTTTCGTTCAAAAAATTGTATTAAGCACTAACACGTGTTAAACACTAACCTTGGAATATCTTCTCAGATTATATTTAATCTTGAGAACACAAATACGAACAAGACAACGTGTTCTGGATGACATCACAATCTAATAAACAAGAGATAAACTTCCAAATTGCTCTATATGTAAATGTTAGGAATGAGTGTATGATTTCTATGAAAATTTTAAAGTATAGCACCATCAGTGATAGCATGGTTGTGAAGGAAGTTAAAATAAGAATAAAGAGAAAGCATGTTGCCTAAACCTGTGTAAGACTTTTTGCAAATGGGTCTCTTATACATAAAAAATAGGTCTCTTATACATAAAAAATGGGTTTCTTATACATAAAAACCCTTGTTTGGGTTCAGTACTAATGTTAGAATTGGAATCACTTATGTGTATTTATTGAGCATCTAATACAAAGGATTTTTTTTTTTTGCAAATAAACAGGATGTTCTAATTGCTTCATTTGATCTTTATAATCTCATGAAGTATATGGTAATATATTTTATTACAGAAATGAGAAAATTAACTCAAAGATCTAGATGACCATCTTAAAGTTATAGAGTTGAAAGTGGTAGAGCCAGTGTTAGAATGATCAATTGACACATTCATTTATGCATTCATTGGTTGAGTGATCACTCTATGCTCTGAGGAAGTGGGGATTGAAACTATAGCAATGAATAAAGCAAATGCTCTGATCACAAAGCATTTACTTTTAGCAGAGGTGAGAGATACATTACCTAAGAAATCATGATAAAGAGGAAAAAATGCAGTAAGCACATATTATATAGCTGGGTAGCACGGATGAAAGAATGAGGTTTATATTCTTTCTGTTAATTTTGGGAATAAATGCCATTTTCTTATGGATTTTATGACTTTTCTTTGCTTGCTTTCTTTGTCCATTCCCTGTAAAACACAGTTGTCCTTAGCCAAGAAGATCTAAAAGCATTGCAGATTTCCAGTGCTCAAGTATCTTATACTCTCATTAAAGAACACAACATCACTCTTGAAGTGACAGAAAAGCTGTGGAATTTTCAAGGTTGTAATCACTGCCTAGGTCTCCAGTTAAACTAAAAGGAGAATAAAAAGTGGTGTAAGGAAGCTGTCTCAATCATCTACCACTGGGGAATTTATTATTACTATAAGGAGAATTAAACTGAGTGTATTAAGGGTAAAAGCAAACTGAAGGAGGTTAAATTCAACAAAAGTTACTTGGAAATATACTGGGTTGTTTAAAGAAATATGTTTCTGGTGGGCAGGAAGATAAAAATAAAATCCTGCAAGATTTAGTTGAGATTAGAGCTACTGTTATCCAAACTCCGACAGAGCATAGATAGATACACAGAAACACTATCCACTTGGAAATTTGAGACTTTCTATGAAGAAGGCATATATTAATAATTAATTTAGCAATAACTTCCCCCCATTTTATATGTTAAGTGTTAATATATTAGGAAAAACAGGTAGGCAAATTAAGGAAAAAAATTACATGCATAATTTTTCTACTGCTAATTGGACACATGCCCATATTTTCGGGTAGTTACACTGTATATGACTTAGCACAAATTTTATCACGTTTTATTCCATTAATATGATCCAGGGTTTTATTTTTAACGGCTGCATACTGTTCATTAAATCTGTCTATCATACGTTGCTTAAGTAGTCTTTTTAAGGTACTTCCAATTTTTCACTATCATAAACAGTGTGTATTCTCATAGCCAAATATTCTGTACTTTCATGATTGTTTCCCTATGATAGATCAAAGAGTGGTAAATATTTTAACCCTTGTGATATGTATCGTCAATTCTTTCATAGAAAATATACTGATTTACCTTACTCTGGTATTGTGAAAAGTAATTTTCTCCAGATTCTGAGCCTCATTAGATGTCATTTCTAGCTTGAAAGATAATATTTATATTTCATTGTTTAAATTTGTATTTATTAATTATTGATGATGTGAAATTTTTTCCTGTGTTTCTTCTTTTGGTTAATTTTTGCTTTTCCCCACTTTGTCCAACTTGTTACTGGTGACTTTTTCTTGATTTGTGAGAAATATTTACATATTAATTATACTGATTCTTTGTCCTCATATATGTTACAAATAAGATAAGGTTTTTTATTTGGTATTTTTAATAGTGAAATGTGACAATCTTTTCCTTCATACTTTCTATTTTGGTGAGATCATACATAATTTTTTATTTCAAATAACAGAATTAACATTAATATTTATTCTAGTGTTTTTATTTAGATCTTTTATTCATCTAGAATTTTGATGTATGATATGATATAGGAATCAAATTTTATTTCCCAATGATTAAAAGTTTTCCAAATGCTCTTTAATTCTTTCTCCATGGATTTGGCATGTGATATTTATTATATCCTCAATTATTAAATATAATTTTATCTGTTTCTGGTTTTTCTCTTCTTTGCTGTTGATATAATTCTAATTTAATTTATTTAGTAATTTTTACATATGGCATAATGTTAATTTTTCAAATGTTTCACATCCTTCAAATATATCCTCCAGAAAATTATCTGAACAATTTTGTCAGATATGAAAAAACAAACTTTCTGATATATTCTTTAAGATTGCAATAAGGTCATAGATTAATTTGGGAAGCACTCATATCTTTATAATATTTCATCTTTTTATCTAGATACATGGTATCTCGTTATTCATTTAGTTGTTTTTTTTCTGTAATCCTTAGGAAATTATGAACCATTGGTTCAAGAAGAACATTTATTAAAGAAACCCTGGAATGTTATTATGAAAGACTACAAAAACTGCTATAAAATCCTTGAATGAATTACACAAAGATTAACTGAATTTTGAAAATGTTTATATCTGTTTTGGGGAGAAATAATTTGGTTGTTAAAATATAGTCAAGTTAACACTATCTAGAGACAACATTTATGGTAACTAAATGATTATTACCACTTGTAGTTTTTATCAACTTTTTGCCCTAAATAAATACGTTGTGCTGAAAAGTATGCTGTACAATTTTCTTATTAAACAACAACAACAAAAAAGAAAAACAAAAGTGCCAGAAATAAAAGCAACATTTGATACACAGAAAGACAAAATACCTCAAAATATCAACATGAGGAACCTAGGTGTATTAATTACATGTGTATGAGTGAACCAGGAACACCTGGTCACTATCAGAGGCCAGCATAATGTCAAGGAAGGTAACCAAATTAGATGCTCATCATGTGATATATACCATTAGATCAAAAATAAATCCCTGGAACAGTACACATGTATGAAGACAGGGTTCAGGAACCCAGGAATGAAGACCATGTTAGGAATGGGAGTACATAGAGAAATATTTCTGGATACATCCTAAGAAAATACGCAAGGGTAAATTCCAAGTGCTGGCATTTGAAAATGTTTTAATTGGTCCATAACGGAGAGAGGAAACTCATGAAAGTTAAAATAATAGTATTTTACAGTTTTTTCTTTTTTCATCAGCGACATTAACCTGAAATCTTATGTTCTTATCAGGGTTTGATATCATAAAGGGTATGTCTTTTTGCATCCATTTACTTTCAACTTTTCTGCATTTTTCTATGGAAGATATGTCTCATAAATAGCAGGGCTTTTCCCCAAATTTTTATTGTCTGATAACCCTTTTCCTTGTACTGGAATAGTCTATTCATATTTAATATGGGTATAATATATTTACCTTTAAGTCTATCATTTTACTTTATCTCTCTGTTTTTATCTCTTCTATATTGACTTTCTTCTCTTCACTCTTTTTTCTAGATAGATTGCATATTTTTGGTGCCATTTCCCCTTCATATCAGTTGGTTTTCATATACACAATCTTTTATTATTCTTCCATTATTTAAAGATTGATACAATCTAACATAAATTATGTTTATAATTTCCTAGACAGCATCAGGATTTTAGTATACTTTCATTTCATTTACACTTTTTCTGATTGAATGCTATTTTTTGTCCAATCAATTTATAAATATGTATTAAGCCCCAGAGACCGAACTATTATTTCAAATAGTCAGTATTAATTTAGATTTATCCACATCTTAAATCATTCAATTACTCTTTATTCTTCCTTTTTCTGGGTTTGCATCTGGAGTAATTTCACTTATGCTTCAAGAAAATATTTTTCCCTTTTTGTGCAGGACCAGTAGTATCATTTCCTCAAGGTTTGTTTTTGAATGTTTTCATTTTACCTTTATTGTTAAATAATAGAATTTTAGGTTAGCAGCTAGTATCTTTCAGAATCTTAAAGATATTATTTCTATGATCTGTTTCTTCATATCATGGTTTGGGTTCGATTACTTTGCCTCTTCACATGCCCGCATTTCTGGTTTTTTTTTTTTAACTTTATTACCAGTCATTATGACATAAATGTTAGCAATAAATTGCAATTTTGAACAGTATTATCTTTCTCTAGTAAAAAAAAAAAAATTCTGTTTGGTGTCTAGGAGCATTTGCAAACACAGATTACATTAATCCAGTCATAAATTGAGATGAGTTGAAACTCTCATCGTTACGAGATCTAACTTATTTCCTGTTTATCCTTCTTCCTGAATGTAGCCATTTGGCATACTGACAAAACACTGAGGCTTTTATCAGGGGTATCCTAGTGGCTCTAATGTCAATTTCCTCATCCCTGGCCCCACACCCAGTCCTGAAAGTCTGTTAAAAGTACTCCTCAGCATCTTGGTTTCTCAGCTCCTGCTTTCAAAATTAGCAGTATTCCTAAATAATAAGTGGCCCCAGAAGGACTTCCTTTTTCTCTTAGCTCTTGACCCACAATTTTTTCCAGCTCTGGTAATTCTCTGATGCCTACAAAGAGGATTATACACGGACACACACACACACACACACGCACAGAGCACACACCACACACACATGCACACACCACACACACACACACACACACACAAATTGAGAGAGAGAGAAAGTAAGAAAGCCAGTTAGTGGTTCTAGTTGTCATCAGTACAAGGATTGATTTGAATGACCTTGTCTGACCTTGTCTATCTTTCCTAGAGGTCATTTTATTCATTTTAAAAATTTCCCTAAGCTAGAAGGGTTGAAAATTGAATTTCAAATGGTAATGAATAGTGAGAATCTTGACTTACCTTAGTTTCTCACAAGATATTGCTAGCTTGTCACCATGGAACTAAAAATATAAACTGAAAACCAGGGAAAGAGACTGCAGCAATGAACTTACATGACAGTGTGGCTAGAAACTAACACCTATGTGTATAATAGCAACAAAACAATATCTGTAGAATTAAAAATAGAACTTGGCTGATGAATGGAGAAGATGCACATATGCTGGCGTTCTTCTGTTCTGCTGATGGATCAGATTTTATTGTATTTCATACCAAATGACTTTAGGTCAGGACTGTCTTCACCTAATTTAAAGTTCTTGATCCCCTGGGCCTTTACCTGGACAGCTTTCATCTGGGCTTAAGCACAGAAACAAATTTATGAGATAATATAAATTAATAGGTCATAAGTTTCTGTGTCAAGAGTAATAATTTAGTGGCTTTCATGTTTAGCATTACATAAACAACAATGACAATATCTAGCATTACTGAATTCAGTTGTATATTCAAGGAATAATCAGTACTGAACTTTAAACTACTCAGTATTTGCCTTTAGAATTTCTTACACTTTGAGTTTGCTGACAACAAATTCTTTTAGCTTTTGTTTGAAAATGTCTTCCTTTTGTCTTTATTTTTGAGGATACTTTCACTTGGTGTAGAAATCTAGTTGACAGCTATTTTTATTTTTATTTTTCTCTCATCACTTTAAAGTTGGCATTCTATTATCTTTTGGCTTGCATTGTTTCTGATGAGATGTCAACCATCTTTTTTGCTGTTGTTGTTCTCTTGTAAACGTAAATGTAAAGCGTCTTTTAACTCAGTTTATTTAATTAATTTATTTATTTTTGAGATGGAGTCTTGCTCTGTGACTCAGGTTGGAGTGCAATGGCACGATCTTGGCTCACTACAACCTCCACCTCCCGGGTTCAAGTGATTCCCCTGCCTCAGCTTCACAAGTAGCTGGGATTACAGGGCCCGCCACCATGACCAGCTAATTTTTGTATTTTTAGTAGAGATGGGGTTTCACCATGTTTGCCAGGCTGGTCCCAAACTCCTGACCTCAAGTGGTTTGCCAGCCTCGGCCTCCCAAAGTGCTGGGATTACAGGTGTGAGCCACTGCGCCTGGCCAACTATTTATTTTTTAAGGATATTTTTCCTTTAAACTTGTTGTTCACTAATTTGACAATGATATATCTAATGCAGTTTTATTTGTACTTATCTTACATGTATTCTTTGAGCATTTTATTTCTTTTTTAAAAATTTTTATGTTTAACTTCTGTGGATACATAGTAGGTTTGTATCTTTGTGGGGTACATGAGATGTTTTGATACAGCAGGCAATATGAAATAATCATGTCATGGAGAATGAAGTATCCATCCCCTCAAGTATTTTTCCTTGGAGTAACAAACAATCCAATTACACTCTTTAAGTTATTTTAAAATGTACAAAAAATTTATTATTGCCTATAGTCATCCTATTGTGCTATCAAATAGTAGGTCTTCTATATTCTTTCTAATTTTTTGTGCCCATTAACTATCCCCACCTCACCCACAGCACCCACACTGCACTACCCTTCCAAGCCTTCAGTAACCATCATTCTACTCTCTCTGTCCATGAGTTCAATTGTTTTGATTTTTAGATTCCACAAATAATTAAGAACATGTGCTGTTTTTCTTTCTATGCCTGGCTTATTTCAATTAACATAATGATCTCCAGTTCCATCCATGTTGTTGCAAATAACTATATGTCATTCTTTTATATGGCTGAATAGTACTCCATTGCTCCATTGTGTATACTTGCCACATTTTCTTTATCCACTAATCTGTTGATGTACCCTTATGTTGCTTCCAAATCTTAGCTATTGTAAATACAGCTGCAACAAATATAGGAGTGCAGATATCTCCTCAATATACAGATTTCCTTTCTTTTGGGTATATACCCAGCTGTGGGTTGCTGGATCATAATGGTAGCTCAACGTTTAGTCTTTTGAGGAACCTCCAAACTGTTCTCCAAAGTGACTGCGTAATTTACATTCTCACCAACAATGTACAGGGTTCCCTTTTCTCCGCATCTTTGCCAGTGTTTGTTATTGCCTGTATTTTGGATATGAGCCATTTTAACTGGGGTGAGATGACATCGCACTGATTTGCATTTTTCTGATGACCAGTGATGTTGAGCCTGTTTGCCCTTTGTGTGTCTTCTTTTGAGAAATGTCTATTCAAATCTTTTGCCAATTTTTGATCACATTATTAGTTGTTTTTTTTTTTTGTATAGTTGTTTGAGCTTCTGATATATTCTGGTTATTAATTCTTTGTCAGATGAGTAGTTTGCAATTATCTCCCATTCTGTGGGTTGTCTCTTCACTATGCTGACTGTATTTTTTGCTGTGTAGAAGCATTTCAGCTTGATGTGATCCCATTTCTCCATTTTTGCTTTGGTTGCCTGTGCTTGTGGGTTATTACTCAATAAATTTTTGCCCAGACCAATGTCCTGGAGATTTTCCTTCCATGTTTTCTTGTAGTAGTTTCACAGATTCAGGTCTTAGATTTAAGGCTTTAATATATTTTGATTTGATTTTTTATGTGGGGAGAGATAGGGCTCTAGTTTCATTCTTTGAATATGGAAATCCAGTTTTCTAACACCATTAATTAAAGAGACTGTCTTTTCCCCAGTGTGTGTTCCTGGCAGCCTTGTCAAAAATTAGTTCACTATAGATGAATTTGTTTCTGCGTCCTCTATTCTGTTCTATTGGTCTATGTGCATGTATTTTATGCTAGTTTTGATCACTGTAGTCCTGTAGTATAATTGGAAGTCAGGTAATGTGATTCCTCCAGTTGTTCTTTTTGCTTAGAATAGCTTTGGCTATTCTGGGTCTTTTGTGGTTCCATATAAATTTCAGGATTGTTCATTGTATTTCTGTGAAGAATGTTATTGGTAATTTGATGAAGATTTCATTGAATCCGTAGATTGCTTTGGGTAGTATGGACATTTTAACAGTGTTGATTCTTCCAATCCATGAACATGGAATAGTTTCTCATTTTTTGATGTCCTCTTCAATTTCTTTCATCAGTATTTTATAGTTTTCATTAAAGAAATCTTTCACTTCTTTTGTTAAGTGAATTCCTAGTACTTAATTTTGTGTGTGGCTATTGTAAATGGGATTTTTTTAATTTCCTTTTCACATTGTTTACTGTTGGTATTTAAAAAACGCTGCTGATGTACGTATGTAGATTTTGTATTCTGCAATTTGACTGAATTTGTTTATCAGTTCTAATAAGTTTCTTTTTGAGTCTTATAGTTTTTCCAAATATAAGATCATATCATCTGCAAACACAATAATTTCACTTCTTCTTTTCCAATTTGGATGCTCTTTATTTTTTTCTGTTGTCTGATAGTTGTAGCTGGGACTTCCAGTACGATGTTGAATAACAGTGGTGACAGTGGGCATCCTTGTTATGTTTCAGATCTTAGAGGAAAGCCTTTCTAATTTTCCCCATTCCGTATGATACTAGCTGTGGGTCTGTCATATATGGCTTGTATCATGTTAAGGTATCTTCCTTCTATCTCCAGTGTTTTGAATATTTTTCTCATGAAAGGATGAATGCTTTTTCAACACCAATTAAAATAATCATATGGTATTTATCCTTCATTCTGTTGGTATACCACATTGGTTTGCACATGTTGAGCCATCCTTGCATCCCAGGAATATTTTTTACTTGGTCATGATAAATGACCTTTCTAATGTATTTTTTTTTCTTTTGAGACAGAGTTTCACTGTTGTTGTCCAGGCTGGAGTGCAATGGTGCAGTCTTGGCTCACTGCAACCTCCACCTCCCAGATTCAAGCGATTCTCCTGCCTCAGCTTCCCAAGTAACTGCGATTACAGGCATGCACCACCACACCTGGCTAATTTTGAGTTTTTAGTAGAGACAGGGTTTCGCCCTGTTGGTCAGGCTGGTCTCAAACTCCTGACCTCAGGTGATCCACCTGCCTCAGCCTCCCAAAGTTCTGGGATTACAGGTGTGAGCCACCACGCTTGGCCTCTAATGTATTGTTGAATTCGGTTTGCTAGTATTTTTGTAGAAGATTTTTGAGTCAATACTCATCAGATATATTGGCCTGTATTTTTCTTTACTTGATATATCTTTGTTTCCATAACAGGGTAATACTGGTCTCATAGAATGAGTTTAAAAGTATTCTCTCATCTATTTTTTGGAATAGTTTGAATAGGTTTGGTATCAGTTCTTCTTCAAGCATTTGGTAGAATTCAGCAGTGAAGCCATCAGGTTCTGGGCTTTCTTTACTGAGAGAATATTATGGCTTTTTTTTTTTTTAAGACAGAGTCTTGCTCTATCACTCAGACTGGAGTGCAGTGGCACAGTCTCGGCACACTGCAACCTCTGCCTCCCAGGCTCAAGCAATTTTTGTGCCCTCCAGAGTAGCTGGGAATACAGGTGCATGCCACCTCACCCGGCTAATTATTGTATTTTCAGTAGAGACAGATTTTCACCATTTTGCCCAGTCTGGTCTCAAACTTCTGACCTCAACTGATCCACCCACCTTGGCCTCCCAAAATGCTAGGATGTCAGGCATGAGCCATCCTGCCCAGTCATTTTATTATGGCTTCTATCTCATTACTTGTTGTTGGTCTGTTCAGGTTTTGGATTTCTTCCTGGATCAATCTTGGTAGGTTACATGTATCTAGGAATTTGTATATTTCTTCTAAATATTCCACTTTATTGGCATATAATTGCTCATAGTAGCCACTAATGATTCTTTGATTTTCTATAGTATCAGTTGTAATATCTGCTTTCTTATTTCTGATTTTATTTTTTTGGATATTCTATCTTTGTTTCTTAGTCTGGCTAAAGGTTTCTCAATTTTGTTTAACTTTTCAAAAAATCCACTGTTTCATTGGTCTTTGGTATTTTTTAAAATTTCAATTTCATTTATTTCTGCACTGATCTTTATTATTTATTTTCTTCTGTTAATTTGGGGTTTGGTTTGCTTTTGTTTTTCTAGTTCTTTAAGATACACCATTATATTGTTTATTTGAATATTTTCCTTTTTTTAATGTAGGCACTTATAGGTATAAACTTCCCCCTTAGTACTGCTTTTGCTGTATCCCATAGGTTTTGGCATGTTGTTTCCATTATCGTTTGTTTTAAGAGAATTTTCAATTTCCTTCTTAATTTCTTCATTGACCCACTAGTCATTCAGTAGCATATTATTTAATTTCCATGTATTTGTATAGTTTCCGAAATTCCTCTTGTTATTGATTTCTAGTTTTATTCCATTGTGGTCAGACAAGATGCTTGATATTATTTCAATTTCTTTTGAATGTTTCAGGACTTGTTTTGTGTCCTAATGATATGGTGTATCCTTGAGAATGATTCATGTGCTGAGGAAAAGAATGTGTATTCTGCAGCTCTTGGATGACATGTTCTGTAAATACCTATTAGATTCATTTGGTCTGTAGTGAAGATTAAATCTGATGTTTCTTTGTGGATTTTCTGTCTGGAAGATCAGTTTAATGCTGAAAATGGGGTGTTGAAGTCTCCAGCTCTTATTGTATTAGAGCCTATTCCTCTCGTTAGCTATAATAATATTTCCTTTATGTGTCTGGGTGCTCCAGTGTTTAGTGCATATATATTTCAAATTGTTTTATCCTCTTTTGAATTGTCCATTATATCAATATATAGTGACTAACATTGTCTCTTCTTGTAGTTTTTGTCTTAAAATTTATTTTGTTTAAGTATAGCACTCCTCGTTTGTTTGTTTATTTCGATTGGCATGAAATATCTTTTTCCATCTGTTTATTTTCAGTCTATGTGTGTCTTTATAGGTGAAGTGTGTTTCTTGTAGACAACAGATGAATGGGTCTTGTTTTTTTCATCCATTCAGCAAGTCTATGTCTTGATTGGAGAGTTTATTCCATTTACATTCAATGTTATTATTGATGAGAAAAGACTTTTGCCATTTTGTTGTTTTCTGGTTGCTTTGTGATCTTCTCTTCCTTCCTTCTTTCTTTCCTTCCTATCTTCCTATAGTGAAGGTGATTTTCTCTGGTGATATAATTTAGTTTCTTGCTTTTGATTTTTTGTATACTCATCATGTTTTTTGGTTTGAGGTTACCATGAGGCTTGCAAACATAATCTTTTAACTTATTATTTTAACCTGATAACAACATAACACTATTTGCATAAACAAACAGACAAGGAAAAAGACTAATAAAAACTCTATGCCTTAACTTCATTTCCTCACTTTTTAATGTTTTTATGTTTCTATTTTTATCTTACCATATTGACTATGTCTTGAAAAGTTGTTGTAGTTATTTTTTATTGGTTCGTTGTTTAGTCTTTCTACTTAGGATAAGACTAGTTTATACATCGCAGTTACAGTGTTATAATATTCTGTGTTTTCCTGTGCACTTACTATTATCAGTGATTTCTGTACCTTCAGATAATTATTTATTGCTGCTGAATGTCTTTTTCTTTCTGTTTGAAGTACTCCCTTTAGCATTTCTAGTAGGACAGGCCTGGTACTGATGAAATACCTCTGCTTTTGTCTGGGAAATTCTTTATTTATCCTTTATGTTTGAAGGATATTTTTGCCAGATATACTATTCTAGGGTAATTTTTTTTTCTTCTGCACTTTTAATATGTCATGCCACTGTCTCCTGGCCTGTAAATTTTCCACTGAAAAGTCTGCTGCCAGACATATTGGATCTCCATTGTTTGTTATGTCTTTTCTCTTGCTGCATTTAGGATCCTTTCTTTATCTTTGATGTTTGGGAGTTTGATTATTAAATGCCTTGAGGTAGTCTTCTTTGGCTTAGATCTGCTTGGTATTCTATAACCTTCTTGTGCTTGGATATTGATATATTTCTCTAGGTTTGGGAATATCTGTTATTATCTCTTTGAATAAGCTTTCTATCCCTATCTCTTTCTCTATCTCATCTTTAAGGTCAATAACTCTTAGATTTGCCCTTTTAATGTTATTTTCTAGATCAGGTAGGCATGCTTCATTGTTTTTTATTCTTTTTCCTTTTGTCTCCTCTGACTGTGTATTTTCAAATATCCTGTCTTCAGGCTCATGGATTCTTTCTTCTTCTTGATCAATTCTGCTATTAAACAACCCTCATGCATTCTTCACTATGCCATTTGCATTTTTCAGCTCCAGAATTTCTGCTTGATGCTTTTTAATTATTCTAATCTTTTTGTTCAATTTATCTGATAGAATTTGGAATCCTTCTCTGTGTTATTTTCTTTGAATTTCTTCAACACAATTATTTTGAATTATCTGTTTGAAAGGTCACATAACTCTATCTCTCCAGGATGGGTCCGTGGTCCCTTATTTAGTTCATTTTGTGAGGTCATATTTTTCTCAATGGTGTAGATGCTAGTAGATGTTCTTTGATGTCTGGGCATTGAAAAGTTATGTATTTATTGTAGTCATCACTGTGTGGGCTTACTTGTAGTTGCCCTTCTTGGGGAGGATTTCCAGATATTTGAAAATATTTGGATGTTGTGACCTAAGCTCTATCTGCTTTAGGGGACACCCCAAGCCCAGTAATCCTGTAGTTCAAACTCACAGAGGTACCACCTTGATGGTCTTGACAAGATCCAGTGGGTTCCTAGGCAGAGACTCTTGCTCACTTCCCTTACTTTTCCCCATGCATACAGAGTCTCTGTCTCTCTTTCTGTTCTGAGCCATCTAAAGGTGTTGCATGGAGTGACACAAACATCCCTGTGGCCACCACCACTGTGACTGCACTGAGTCAGTTCTGAAGCCAACACAGCACCAGGTTTTGCCTAAGGCCTGCTGTCAGCACTCCCTGGCTACTGCTTATGTTTGCTGAAGGTCCTGGGGCTCTACAATCAGCAGGTAGCAAAGCCAGCCAGGCCTATGTCTTTCCCTTCAGGGTAGTGAGGTCCCCCAGACCCCAGGTGCATTCAGAAGTGCCATTTGGAAGTCAGGGACTACAGTCAAAAACCTTAGAAACCTACATGGTGTTCTACTGTATTGCAGTTGAGCTGTCACTCAAATCACAAGATGCAGTCCTTCCTACTCTTCCCTGCCCTTTCCAAAGTCAGAGGATCCTCACCTCATATCCACTGGCTCCCCAGGCCATGAGGAGTACTGCCAGACTACTAAAGATATTCCCTTAACAACGTCTCATGTAAGTCAACTTGTAGTGAGTGCTGCCTGGCCTGGGACTCACGCTTCAGAGCAGTGGGCTCCCTTCTGGCCCAGGGGAGGCCCTGAAATGCTGTCCAAGAGTCAAGTCCTAATTTGGGGATCCCAAGAGCCCCCTGGTTCTCTACCTTTCTGTGGCCATGGTGGTACCTAAGATGCAAGACAAGGTCCTCTTTACTTTTCCCTCTGCTGTTCTCAAGCAAAAGGAGTTTTTCCCCTTAGCCACCACATCTGGGAATCTGGAGTCTCACTAGAAGCCAGGAAGTCTCAGAGGTTCACTCAGTCCCCTCGATGTAGTGCCTGGTTGTCACTGCTGGTTAACCAAGGGTCCAATAGCTCTTCAGTTAGCAGGTGATGAATGCTGCTAGGACTGGCTTCTTTCCTTCAAGGCAACAGGTTCCCTTTTAGTCCAGCATGTGTCTACAAATGTCATCTGTGAGCTGGGGCCTGGAACAGAGATTTCAAGGAGTCAGACTGGTGCCTCTCCTACTGTGGCTGAGCTGGTGTCCTAGATACAAAACAAAGTCCTCCCCACTCTTTCTTTTTCTCTCCTCACATGGAAGAAGGGGGTCTCTTTTGGAGTCATGAGGTATGCAACCTGAGATTAGGGGAGGGGTGATGCCAACACTCCCTTGGCTGCTCCAGGTAGTGTCTCAGTAGTTCATGTGGCCTCCCAGTCCACTGTCTCTGGGCCCAGTTCAGCACTAGGACTTCCTTAGGGTATCAGTCCTTAGGGCCTAGACTGCCTTTTAAGTTTACTTGGAAACACAGAATGCTGTAGCCCTTGGTGGCATGGGTTGCAGTCACTTAAGGTCACTGGGATCAGTGATTTCCATCTGATTCCACCTCCTTCTTGGGCAGGTGTCAGCTAAGTTTGGTCTGGTTTTCTTTTCTGCTCTGATGAGACAGCGCTGAGTTCAATGTCAGCAATTACTGTGCTCCCCCTTTTTCAGTGCCCAGAGATGTGCTCTGCACCATGCTGTCACTGCTGGAGGGTCGGGGAGGGGTGGTGTCCTAAGATTCAGAACTATTTTTTTCTATCTCTTCAGTGCCTCTTTCAGCACTATGGAGTTGAAACTAGGTACTGTGAGTGCTCACCTGAGTTTTGGTTTGTATGAAAGTGTTTTTTCCTGTGTAGATAGTTATCTTGATGTCCTTTCATGGGGACTGATGGTGGAGCTTTCTTTTTCACCATCTGGCTCTGCCTCCTCTCCCTGATCATTTTAAATAGCTGGGCTGTTCAAATTTTTAAATTGTTTCTCCTTGTCTTTGGGGACTCTTGTTATACAAATGTTATATTATACTATTTGTCTCTTACAAGCTGTTCTTAGTTTTTTGGGTTTTTTTTTTTTTTAGTTTCTTTTCCCTTAATCTATGTGCTTCAATTTTGATAATTTCTATTGACCTATTTTCAAATTCCTTGATCCTTTCTGCTACCATGTGCAGTTTGCTACTAAGCTCCATATTCAAATATTTCTTAATTTCAGATTTTTAAAAATTTCAGTTATAGAATGTCAATATGTCCTTTAGATTCCATTTCTCTACTGAGAATGTATATCTGTTCTTCCAATTTTTTAACATATTGATAATTATAATTTTAAAGTCTATAATCTACTAACTCCAAATTCTAATTCATTTGTGGGTCTGCTTCTATATATTTATTGTTCTCTTCTTTTCATGTCTCATCATTTTTGACAGTAGAAAAGACTTCGTATTTAATAGCATCAAGTAATTTGGAATCATTTTCTCCAGAAAGGGCACATTCCTTGCTCTGTCAATCTGCTAGGATAAAGAGTTGACTATTTTGATCCAAATAGGAATTCAGATGAGTTGGGTCTGGTTTGCAGCCTGAGTTTCAGTTTATTACTGATTTTAAATGTCTTAAGAGTGAGATCATTCTGAATAATTTCAGACAGACACTCTCTAGAAAACATTTGGGACTGAAGCACTACAAGACTATGGAGATCACCCTCTGAGTTCCAAATCAGCCCATAGCATTCTGTGCTGCCACTCTCCACAAAAGTCCCTTGGAAGTGCCTGGCCAAAAAATCAGCTCTGAGTTTCTGAATCCTATAGATTCCAATCCAATATACCAGCCCATTAAACTATTAAAACCATGCTGCAACGGAATTCTGCCATTTGTTGCCTACTTATTCTCAACATGGCTAATGTTCACAGAAAGGGAAGTGGTGTTGCTATTTGTTGAAAATTTGTTGAAAAATGTGGTCTTTCTTCTCTGAAAACTCGTTATTTAAAATTTATTTTTCTACATTTTCTGAAGTCATGTGTGTTCATGTGTGTTTGTAATTTTACTCTGTTCTGGTTGATAATTATGATTATTTGTACTTCCTGCATGGATGTGGAACTCCCCAGAATACCAGCACTTCACTCATGCTCATTTAAAGTCTTAAGAAGTAATTGATATACTGTTGCTGATTTTATTTATGTTAAAAGATCGTGTTATATAGGTAGGTGATGGTAATCTCTCAATAGTCAGTAGAATGTCTGCGTCATGACAACAGCTATTGTTTATGGAGTTCTTACCTTGAGGCAGCTAATTTTCTAAGTGCTTTACATATATTACCTAATTTAATCCCTACAGCATCCCTATGAGTTAGGGACTATTATTAACCTTTTTATACACATGGGGAGACTGATGCATGGAGAGTTTAGGTGACCTCTCAAGGACATACACCTTGGAGTCAAGATTTAAACCCAAGTAGTCTTTTTCAGAGCCCAAACTCTTAATCACTATACGTATTATGGTATTGAGTAAACATTTAACCTGGTTATTTTCAGAATTGTTCCTCACTCCTCTCTCTGTTCATACTTTAGAAATATGTTTTTTTTTCTATTTTTTTATTTCAATAGGTTTTTAGGAAACAGGTGGTGTTTGGTTACATGAATAACTTATTTAGTGATGATTTCTGAGATTTTGGTGCACTCATCACCCGAGCAGTATACACTGTACCCAGCATGTGGTCTTTTATCCCTCACCCCGCTCCCATCCATTCCCTCAAGTCCCCAAAGACCATTGTATTATTCTTATGCCTTTGCATCTTCATAGCTTAGCTCCCACTTATGAGTGAGAACATATGATGTTTGGTTTTCCATTCCTGAGTTACTTCACTTAGAATAATGGTCTCCAATCCCATCCAGGTTGCTGCAAATGCCATTATTTCATTCTTTTTTTATGGCTGAGTAGTATCCCTTGGTACATATATGTATATATATCACAATGTCTTTATCCAGTCATTGATAGATAGACAGCAACTCAGTAATAGTGGGGGACATCAATACCCCACTGACAGCACTAGACAGTTCATCAGGACAGAAAGTCAACAAGAAAAACAATGGATTTAGAAAAATGTTTTACATAGTCCTCCAGTTATATTATTCCCTCTTATACCTCAATCTCTTTTCACATACTCTGTAGCCTACCAGGATTTACTTCTATTCCTTGTTTACATTTTTTTTTTTCGAGACAGAGTTTCACTCTTGTCACCCAGGCTGGAGTGCAATGGCGCGATCTCCACTCACTGCAACCTCTGACTCCCGGGTTCAAGCGATTCTTCTGCCTCAGCCCCAGAGTAGCTGGGATTATAGGTGCCCACCACCATGCCTGGCTCCTTCTTTACATTTATCTTTCCTTTATAATTCAGCTCAGCTATCACCTCCCTCAGAAATTTTTATTACTTACAATGAATAATACCCTGTACATATATCACATTAGCATTTAACCAATTGTATGTAACATCTTTATGTATGTATATCTCACCCACTAGTCTGTAAGATCCTGAAGAATAAGAACTAGAGCTTATCAATTTATTTATACACAATGCCTAATAATGCTTGAAATATTATAGTCACTGAATATATGTTTACTAAACTAATTTCAATCCTATTTGTTCCTAAAATTTACTCTCAATAAAAATGTAAAAGATTAGAAATCTTTGTAATGCTGTATGGGCTATCTTGTTCAAAAAATTAAAACTTAATAGTCTCAAAATGAATGTTGTCATACATTTTGGGAGATCACCTTAGCTAGAGTTAAAATAGAAAGGAAAGTGGATATTTAAAACTATGAAATTATTCACTTTAATTTTTATCTCTATTTTAATACCTAAAAACAAAATTCAAGTCTCCTATTTCAAATTAAACTACTATTCATTCTTAACTAATAATACCTTTATGTGCCTGACACTTCAGGTGGAATGATTAAATTATGCACCTGTAGAAAGATCTCAGAAAGCAATGACAGGTATTACAAACCTACTATGTTCCTGGGTACTTTTTAAAAAGTATTGTATTTAAAAATTAAGACATTGACTTCAATTCATTGTTTCTCTTGTATATGACATTCTTCTTTTTTTCTTTGGAATCACAATTTGGGCTGTGAATATTCATTTCCTTAACTTTGCTTTGCTTTTCATAGAATTTATCCCATAGAGCATTGTGCTGCTTAGCTTTGTTAGGTAGTTACTTTAAGCAAGGAAGCAGAGGTATAGAAGCGCTTGATTTTTCTCAAATGAAAAAACATTTGATACCACATTCTCTGTAAAAAACCAAAAAAAAAAAAAATAATAGGGTCAATGGTGGGCTGTACACTGAGGGATTAAGCCAGAGCACAGTCTTTAAGTCACCTCTTTCCATCCTTTGCATATGTAGAATATGTTTTGCTGAATTGCATGGGTTAAATGCATTTGCTCTATTGATTTGTAAAGTTGAAGTCCTCTCACAGCAGCTTGGGGTAAACTCCCCAAATAACTTCTTATTTAGTTCTTGCAAAGTTGTTTATGCTTGAAACCTTCTTGGATTCATTTTATGCTTTACAAGGAATGTATATAGCACCCAACTATAAAAACTGCTGAGAGTGCCAATCCTAAGAAAGAAGAAACAGAAGATTTAGTTTTGACATCTTGTGTTCTAAAATTGGAGGTTCAGGCCAGGCGCATTGGCTCACGCTCATAATCCCAGCACTTTGGGAGGCCGAGGCTAGTGGATCACTTGAGGTCAAGAGTTCGAGACCAGCCTGACCAACATGGAGAAACTACGTCTCTACTAAAAATACAAAATTAGCCAGGCATGGTGGTGCACGCATGTAATCCCAGCTACTCAGGAGGCTGAGGCAGGGGAATCACTTGAACCTGGAAGGTGGAGTTTGCAGTGAGCAGAGATCACGCCACTGCACTCCAACCTGGGCGACAGAGGGATACTCCGTCTCAAGATAAATAAATAAATAATAAAATTGATGGTTCAGTGAGTGACTCCCCTGCTATTCTTTGAATTTCTATCTTATTTCTTTCTAATCTAAGTTCTTTGTTTCTCAGATCCCTAACCAGAAAACATGTTTGTTTTGTCTTTCTAAAAGTGCTACATGTGCTTTTTCTATGGAACAAAAAAGAGCAATCATCTGACAACCACTTTCCTGGATGAAGGTGTCCGGTATGGTAGGAAAAGTTTTTCAAGTGTCTGGGGCAATACTGTCACATCTATTCACCAGAGAAGTTGCAGTATTTTATGTTAAGACAATTTATTTAATCTCCTAAAAGGGATCGTTGCATCAATGAGACTCAGGCTTGTGACAGATTTTAATGTAATAGGAAAAGATCTATGCACCAATTCATTTCCTGTGGCAGTCAATGTCCTCTCTTTTCCAGGGGGAGTGGGAGCACCAGTTCTAATAAACTGTCTTCAAGTTTGAATCTAGAAATCATTCCCCCTCCCAAATAATGTCTAAAATCAGTGTAACCTAATTGACCCTTCTTCTTACCTTCAGCCTTTATAGGTAGAATATGGGCCAAAGATATTTTCTCTTCTCTTTTGCAACCACTCATAATTACCTATACTCCTTGGTAAACTTTGATTCTCACTACAAACATAATAATTTAAAAAGTCAGAGAAAGTAGAGTTCTATTTTCCCCTCCAACTTAAACTTCTTTATATGTATCTAAAAACCATACATGAAGAATAAAATAAAGTTATATTAATATATGTGAGTGTATTTATATGCATGCACTTCTATGTTTATATATTCATACATTTATTCATATATTTAATTAGAAAATAATTTATCATTATTGCATAGTGACAAAATTTGAAGTTTGGAAACAAATCTGTTTAAAATATTATCTTATAAGCTATGTGAACTTAGGCCAATTAATTTCCATGAGATATAATTTTTATAAGAAAAATGAGGATACTAATACCTGTCTTGTAGTGTTGCAATAAGGAGCATACTGATATATTATATAAAACATTCAGCATAATTCCTGGAACATAATAGGAGTCCAACAAGTAGCAGTTATTAATATTTATTCTGCTACTTCTATACTTTCTAGTCATTGGAAAAAGTGCTCAGAGATACACAATCAAAGAAAACATAACATCTTTTCTTAAGAGCCTCAAAGTCTACTAAGAAAGACTGGAAAAAGCAGCAACAACTAAAATATAGGGTGATGACTACTATTAAAAATATTAAAGGCTTAGGTATACCTTCAAGTAAAGTGGAGTAGGGCAAGAATCTGTGAGGCAATGGTTGACAAAAACATTTGTATCTTTACTGACTTAATTGACAATAGTTACAAAGGGGCTTTTATTCTATTACTTAATTTTAATTTATTGAGTATATTTTTTATTGTTTAGTAGTTTTTATTTCTAGTTAAGATCTATTATACTATGAGCTTGAATATCAGAAAAATAGAGGGTACCATTTAACTCAGAAATGTTGGCTAGTCTTGGAATTATAAGGAAGGCTTACACCAACAAAGGATCTCTAAGAATACAGTAATGTGTGTTGGAACACACGCTTTGCTGTGGACTTCTCAATTGATGTGAAAATCAATTGGATTTGTCAAAATGAACTTTAGATGTTTAGAGATTATCAGTATTTTCCTATCATTCCTATAATACTGAAACAATTTCCCCCAATTTCAAAGTTTTAGCACATATAATAGTTTAATATATAAAGAAGAGTCTGTAAGGTGGAATGAAGTAGTTTGCAGAGAACTCTAAAAGATATAGAAGTGAGTATGGTCCAGACCACAATAAAATACAATAACCCTAAAAGTTACTGGGTGTCTGGATCAGCAGCTGGAATTAGAAGACTGATACAGCATACATAGGAACTTTGTCCATTATTCTGATGTGGATAACAGAACTTAAAATGTGTAAGTTTCACAGAATCACTCTTCTATGCTTTTTGAGAGAGAAGTTAGAAGAATTTGATATAGTATGAGCCTTTAGCTGATACAGAGAGATGAGAAATCTGAGTTGTTAATAATTAAGTGAGAGTAGCTGGCATGAATAGAAAATGAAGTACTTAGAAGGGAACACAAAATAAGAATAATGAGGAATTAAAGAAAAAATACAAAGAATTCCAGCATGGATAAGAAATAGAAATACTTAGGAATCAAAATTCAAGAAAATATGGAAGAAAATAAAACAATATATGAAACAGAAAAACTGACATTAATACAAGTTTTTAAACAAACATAAAAATTTTAGCCTAAATATTCTTATTATAGCTCCCTTTCTTGTTTCTCTCCTTCGGATTCTAGATAGTTTTTAAAAACTCACATATTTTTATCCTTATTTTCTTGCTATTTTTCATGGCTACGGAAGCGGGAAGAGAAAAATGAAAATCGCCCAAGGTGAAACGTATATCAGAAGCTGAGCTGTGACTTTGACTTAGATGTACCTGAATCCATCACACCACCTGTACTTTCTGAATTTTAATTGTATCTTTTTACAAATATGGAGAAAGTACAGCAAGTTATTTATACATATAGCTTTAAAATATTTTGTCACAAGTATTTGTAGCTCTAATCTCCTCTTTAATCTGTTTTGCCCCAAATATTCATCTCACTTTGCTGATTTTCTCTGACGTTAGAGTTCACTTAAGTTTCAATTTTAGGAAGTTGGCTTTTTAATAAGATTTCTTTAAATAGTTTCCATGTTTAGCCAACCTTGCAGTTCTTAACAGTAAATGGAAGAACAAATAGCGAGCATAAGGAAAAAAATCAGTGTGTTTAACTTCCAGATGAAACCAAAATTTGGGATTATTGACTAAGATTTGGATGTAATCCTGGCAGTCTAAATCTATCAATATCTGAACATGACACTCTTCAAAAAGGGCTTCATTTTTCTCATTATTATAATAACATTTCTTAAATTTCCAAAAATGGTTCTTTCCCTCTAAGCGCCCTTGGCAGATATCTCTTTTCTGAAGTCCACTAATTCAGGTCCTATGCCATGACTACATATTGATATTGATATATATAAGCATATATGAACACATAATGTATATGTGAACAAATACATATGAATATAAAAAGATGTCAAATATGGAAGAATTCATTTCTGACTCTTGAAAAGACAATCTGGGTTTTGCTTTTAAAAATATACTTTTCTTTAGTATACATGTGTAATGCCACCCCTCGTTTTTCTCTAATGAGTGCCTAAAATTAATGTTTCTTTTTATTTTGGTTGTTACTTGGATCCAGTGAGGTGCACAGTACTAAGTCCTGCAACTACTGATGGTGTGAAGAGGAAGGAAGGTGGATAGAAGGTGGAAGAATGGCAGGAACCATTTTATGATTTATGCAGTTTTATGAAAAAAATGTTCTCTGTACTTACTGCATAGTGTTACTATTATTATCATTTGGTGGGCATGAGGCATGGGCCACACACATCATCTGCTTAAAAATAACTCTACAGCTTGTCTGGGTGTCATTATAGTGTTTGTTTCATAACAACTGCCTATGAGTCTTCATTAAAATTCAAGTGGGCTAGGACTCAGAGCCAACAATAGGGCCCGTATATACTAACAGAGCACAGTCTTTATTTGGGAAGGCTCTGGCAGGATCAGAGTAGGGTGTGTCAAAAACTAGGCACAATGCAAAAAATGTGAGGCTCAGATACTATGAATGAGACTGGATGAAATCATTGGAATGTATTTCACCCAAATAGACCATGTGGTACTTAGTTCAGTCATGGAATGAGAGGGAATAGATGCTGAGCCAAAGAACCCGGATGAGGGGCATACCACCAGCACCTCGATGACTGACCTAGGGAAGTGAATGTTAAAGTTTTGGGGGTTTTTCTTAGGAGATTTCTAAAAGTAAAAGGCAAAAGCCCAGGATTTTCAGTAGACATGTTATAAAATTATAGAAAACTCACCTTAGGTTTAGATAGTGGTACAACAGTCTTAACAGCAACCTTTATTCCTTCATTTATTAAGATGACACCTACATTTATAACATTAAATCTTCATAAAAATCTGAGGAATATCAAATGTGAAGTTCACAGACTTAAATTATAAGTTAAATACTCATTATTTTTATAAATATTTCTTTTTCCTGAATTAAAATACTATAATAATGAGGGATAAGCAGGCTTTGGTATATGTGTTTGGGGATATGGTGGAAATAGAGGCTTGTTACTAAAAAGTTGCAGGATGAAGTAGGGGGGCAAATGATTGTTGTAGCGTAATAGAGGTAACCATATACAGCAACTTGCCTAGAAATCACACTTGCCTTCACCTTCATTTATTCTCTAACCTTTTTCCTTGTCATAGCTCCGCTATGTGAAGCTAAAATTACTTTTGATTTTGAGCAATGGAAATTCTGCTCTTTTGTAATGAAGCAGGAAATTTACCTTTATTGTGCACTGTTAAAATAAAAAAAAAAGGTAGATCTAACATATATTTGTGGATAAAAGGGTTAAAAATCCCTTCTTAAAATTTTTGTTTATGGTTCATTCAGTATGTTCAGTGTGTGGGAAAATGCTGACCATCACAGTTGGCTACCTAACACACATGTTAGTAGCAAAGACAGAAAGACAGAGAAATATGCAGTAGTGCATAATCAAAGCAGTAAATACCCAGCCTGCTGTAAGATGTTAAATAATTGATGGGGAAAAGATACTAACTTTTCTAAATTAACAAAAGTGAAATGTTACCTCTTCTTATTTATTTATTTATTGATAAGGGGGAAAGCCCTAGAGAAAGTAGTTTTGTGTCTTTTATTTTTTCTCTATTTTCTGTTGCATTTATAGGAAGCTAGATTATGGAAGAAGAGCAGTTGTGATTCTAATGTTTAGTTCCTTAGAAAAAGAAAGTAATTTAAAATATGATGCTACATGAAATTAATGTTATAGATTAGACATAGAGATAAAATGCATGCTGTAAGAGCAATAGAACAAATACTGGAGTGTAAATCGTTTCAGGAATATGTCTTATCTTTGGCACAAAAATTTTCAAAAAAGGAACTACTAACCAAAAGAATAACACATATATAAATAGATGGCGGTCAGCATTTCTAATATGTAATAAAGATATATCTCCTTCCATGTTCATTGCAGCATTATTCACAATAGCCAAGATATAAAATCAACATATGTGTCTATCAGCAAATGGATGGATAAAAAATATATGGTATATATACACAATGGAATACTATTTAGCTTATCATGAATATGAAATAAAATCTAAAAAATCCTATCATTTGAGGCAATATTGATGAACCTTGAGGGCATTATATTAAGTAAAATACAGGAAGTAAAATACAGTAAGACAAATATCCTATGGTCTCACATATGTAAAATCTAAAAAATATTAAACTTACAGAAATAAAAAGTAAAATGGTGGTTATCAGAGGCTGTTGTGGGGAGGTATTAAGAGATGTTGGGGCCCAGCATGGTGGCTCACATCTGTAATCCCAGCACTTTGGGAGGCCGAGGGTGGTGGATCATGAGGTCAAGAGGTGGAGATCATCCTGGCCAACATGGTGAAACCCCGTCTCTACTAAAAATACAAAAATTAGCTGGGTGTGGTGGCATGCGCCTGTAGACCCAGCTACTTGGGAAGCTGAGGCAGGAGAATTGCTTGAACCCAGGAGGTGGAGGTTGCAGTGAGCCGAGATTGCACTACTGCACTCCAGCCTGGCAACAGAGCGAGACTCTGTCTCAAAATAAAATAAAATAAAACAAAATAAAATAAAAAAGAGATGTTAGTCAACGGACACAAAATTGCAAATGGATAGGAAGAATAAGTTCAAGAAATCTGCTCTATATCATGGTAACTACAATGTGTAACAATAAATTGTACACTTACAAATGTAAACAGGGTAAATATTGAGTGTTCTCACCACAAAAAAATTATAAATATGTGAAGTAATGCATATGTTAAACAGCTGGATTTAGCCATTCCATAGTGTACAGACATACCAAAACATTATGTCCTTCGCCAAAAATATATATAATTTTTACTTGTCCATTAAAAAATGTGTTTCCTTATTTGAATGAGACCACTGGTTCTCAATCTGCACAATTATGTCACCTGGGGAATTTTAAAAATAATAACAATGCTCAGGCTAAGATCAATTAAATTTGGAAGAAATATGGGAATATGAGCAGTAATGTAATCATAGCATCAATGATGTTATCATTTTTAATTTTCCCAAATCCCAGTGTAAAAACTGAGTTTGTAGATAGTCACACCAAAACACACACACACACACACACACACACACACACACACACACACGAACAGCATTTACCACAAAACTAAATCACAAGATAACTCTGAGCCACAAAACACAGGTGGTGGGGGATCTCCAACAGCCATCAGAACTGCAGAGTCTCAGTGCTGGTGCATGAGGAAGCAGTGGGGAGAAAAGAGAGGGAAGCAATCAAGCATTGGATGGACTTGAAAATGCCAACCCTACATTTTAGGAGAACCCTAAAATATACTCTTCGGTACGTACCAGGAGAAAGAGTTAATTTAAGGATAACAGCTGAAACAGAGTGAGGTTTTGCTCACTTTAGTGATGAATAAGTATAAAGACACCAAAAAAAACCCTAAAATGATTGGAGCAATCAAGTCCCTGAAAAGGTTCAAAACTGGCCAAACAGAGCTTTCTTCTAAAAGAGTTTTATGCTAAGAAGAAACTGCTGGGAATAAGTCAATGTTAAGCATGAGAGAAACAATAAAATTTTAAAAAAGAAAAGGCCTACCAAAAATGTGGAAGGGGGAAAAACAGGAAATCTTAGAAAGCAAGCGGACAGATATTTTAATGCTGCAGGGAGACAGGGATGATAGAAGATAGATAGATGATAGATAGATAGATAGATAGATAGATAGATAGATAGATAGATAGATAATAGACAGATAATAGATACATATACACAAACATACACACACACATACACATGCAGAGAAAGAGAGAGAGAGAAGGAATATTGAACTTGAAAAAGATATACCACTTCCTTTTAAGAATTCAGGAATACCAATTTCACATAAAAATGACCAACAAAAAGCTATGGAGGTCAAATTTACTTAAAGTTATTTTAACAAAAAATAATAAATACCAAATTGCATCTATAGAGATAATAAAAGTATGCCAGAAAAATGACCATAAACAGATTAAAACTGTAGCATATTATTTTAATGTGATGTAGAGATATATGAAGAAAATAATATAAAACACAAAAGAGCAACATGAACCAAAGTTAGAGAAAAAGAGAAATCTGATCCCAGAGTATAGCAAAGAATTAGAAATAAGAGGAAAAAATAGTTTCAGAAAAGAAAACTAAATTAGAAGGAACACAAAAACAAATAAACCTAAAACATTATATCTTAAGATAAATGGAAATTAAGAAGGAGGAATGTGTAAAATTTAAAATGAATTGATGAAAAAGAGAAAAAAGATTGGAAAGAAATTCAGATTGAAGCTAGACAAAGAAGATCCAACATATGGGCCATAGGAGTTCCTGAAAAGGAAAATATAAGCAAAGGAGTTTTTAAAAGCCAAAAACCCCTCTTATTCAAGGATACTTTCCTGCAATAAAAATTAGGATACTTTTTTTTAAGAATATCTTTTATCGGCCAGGCACAGTGGCTTATATCTATAATCCCAGCACTTTGGGAGGCCAAGGTGGGTGGATGACGAGGTCAGGAGATCACAACCATCCTGGCTAACACAGTGAAACCCTGTCTCTACTAAAAATACAAAAAATCAGCCAGGTGTGGTGGCACGCACCTATAGTCCCAGCTTCTCTGGAGGCTGAGGCAGGAGAATCGCTTGAACCAAGGAGGCAGAAACTGCAGTGAGCCAAGATCATGCCACTGCACTCCAGCCGGGGTGACAGAGCAAGACTCCATATAAAAAAAAAAAAAAAGAAAGAAAGAAAGAAAAAAAAGAATACTTTTTATCGGGAAAAAAATTAGAACAACTTATGTAAGTAACGCAAAAGAAAATGTGGCCAAGTATTTTATATCTAGCAAAATGAACTTTTAGGTAGAGAGGATAAAGGGAATCTGTAGTCAACATGGAGGAATCAGAGAACTATGTTCCCATGAGCATGCCCTAAAGAATCTAGTAGAGAATGAACTTGATCACCAAAATGACTATGTAGACATTGACATAAGGACTTATTATCAGCAAAAGGAAACAGTTGTGGAATGAAGGTTAAATAAATGTTAAAATGAATATATGTGGTATTTAATGACTATATTCTTTGTTAATAATAATATAGTATATTTATTAAAAATATGGGAAAAGTAGATATCATATGATAAAAATAACTATCTTTCATGATCATACTTGAGTAAAAACAGTATTTTCCTGTAGTATTTGGTCTTATACGATTAAAGCAAATTAGTAACTATGGAATATTTTCATTCTATTATACCTTGTCTATAGAAATATAATTATAATACAGAAAAAGTTACATTAAATTCCTATTGGTGTGTATTGTAATTAAAAGGGTAAATATAAACTTATGAAGTGTTATATTTTTAAATAATATGTGTATTTGTTTACATATTACAGTTCTTGCCACTACTAAAAAGGCCTAGAAATAATAATAAATCTAGTAGCATCCATCATCCCCAGATTGTGACCTGGTAATATTATTTTCCACTAAAATAGACAAAGATGTCTTGAATAAATTAATGAGTCCATGTCTTTGGTAGGAAATGTGCAAGATGAGTTTGCATCATCTTTCATACTAGATAACATGAAAGCTCTCAAACACTACTACTCATATCAAAGGACCATAGAAGCTAAAATGAAGAGGCTTCCACTGACCAAATATGGTACAATTTAGCTTTATAAGAATACTAAATGCAATGGATCAAAACACATCAAGTATGTTTAAGTACATGAATTCAATGATAACATTTTAAAACTAAAAACTGGTCATTTCCAAAGATGATAAGAAATAATTACCTAGAAAACAGGTAAATACAGAAAAAGAGTCAAACATTTACGCTTTCAAATAGTAGATAGGGACAATTATTTCTTTATATAATTTGTTCCAATTCATAAGTAAAAAAGAAATTATGGAATTAAAATATCACCACTTTGCAAGCTTTAATGAATTAATACTTCTATATAGTGAGCATCAATAGATGATACCATTACAGAAAGGGAAACAAACAAATATATCCTGGTGTAAGAATGTAATACCCCCTAGAAGGTTGTTAAAGAACAAACTTGAGTGCAATCAAGCCTCTGCAACCAGCTTCCAACTTATAGGGAATGCAGAGAACAGAAGAACATGCTGAACTATACCATGGGAATGCAATCAGCAAAATCTAAACTATGAAAAACTCAACAGATCAAATGGCCTGGATCTTTAACAGATTAATTACAGATGATTTCTGACTTACTATGGTTTGACTTACGGGTTTTCAATGTTAATATGGGTTTATTGGGAGGGTATTAAATGCATTTTCAATTTATGATATTTTCAATTTATGAGAGGTTTGTAAAGGGATGTAACCCCACTGTAAGTTGAGAAACATCTGTATAAGGAAATAACGGGTTGGAGGAGAAAATTGTAGAGTAAGAGAAACTTTAAAATTGTAGATAGTAAACATTTAAAAATAGGCAAGAATGTTTAAAAATCAGTATTTCTAGGGAATTAGTATTTTTTAAATTCTGTAGATAATTCTAATCTGAGTTTAAGTTGGGAATTATAGGCTTAGAGACTTGTAAACAAGTTGAAGCAAGGCTAGTTGACCTCACCATGCTATAAAAGTATATTTTCATTAAAAACCTGAAGACACAGAAGCAAAAAGATGAGATATGTGCTGGAGTATTTCAGCATTAAAGCGAAAGGAGATGTTGACAAGCCATCACCGTTTACCATGAGAAGTGGGAGGTTTAACAACTACCCCTGAGAAGGCTAAAGAGATCATTAAAATCCTGCCAGGCAAACAGCCAGAGGTGTTTTGATGCCAAGCCATTTGGAAGGTTGAAGATAAACCGAAAGGAGTTGAGTATAAGTGATGTCAAAATAAAATATTTTTAAAGTTAAATACTAATGGAAATTTTACTTTAATATTTCTTTCTAAAATTGCTTTGTTAGGCAGATGACTAAGTAGTACGGCATGATGGGAGGAGGATAATTTAAAGGGATCTAGGTTCAAATCTTGTTATCACCACTTATGTAACTTTACTGAACTCAAGCTCCCTCCAACCTCAATTCCGTTGTATATAAAAATGACATAATAACTCAGACCTAAGAGAATTATGAATAATAAATAACATTCATGTGACAGTAACTGTTTTTCAAATATGTGTTTTAATATTTTAATGTGAACTATTTAAAACTTATAAAAGGGCAAAAATATTATAACTTGATACCATGTATCAAAAACTCAATATTTAATAACTTTCAACATTGTGCATTAAAAAGAAATAAAGTTGTACATGTAAATAAAAAGTATTTGCATCTTTTTCTACTCTCTGTTTAATCTAGCTGTGACTCCAAAGGTAGTATATATTATCCTGATGTATTTTTAAAAACTATTTTATTAAGGTATAATCCACATGCCATATAATCCACTGTTCACAGGGTATGTAACCATCACTACAATGGAATGTTAGAATGTGGTTGACTCCTGTCTTAGTCCATTTGTATTGCTATAAAAGAATACCTGAGGCTGGGTAATTTGTAAAGAAAGGAGGTTTATTTGGCTTATAATTCTGCAGGCTGAAACACTGGGTATCTGGTGAAAGCCTTGGACTACTTTCATTCATGGAGGAAGGCAAAAGGGAGCTGGCATATGCAGAGCTCACAGGGTGAGAGAGGAAAAAATAAGTGGGGAAAGGGGGAGATACTAGTCTCTTTTTAACAACCAGCTCTGATGGTAACTAGTAGTAAGAACTCACTCATTCCCAAGGGAGGGCGTTAATCTATTCATGAGGATCTGCCCCCATGACACAAATACCACCCATCAAGCCCTACTTCCAACATTGAGGATCAAATTTCAACATAAGATTTGAAGGGCTCAAACAAACCAAACTAGAGCATTCCACCCCGGTCCCCAAAATTTTCTGCCATTCTCACATGTAAAATACAATTGCCTCATGCCAATAATCCCCAAAACTCTTAACTTTTTCCAGCACCAACTCAAATATCCAAAGTCTCACCTGAGACTCAAGGTAAGTCTCTTTCAGCTATGAGCCTGTAAAATAAAAAACAAATTAGATACTTCTAAGGTACCATGGTGGTACAGGCATTGGATAAACATTCCCATCTTGAAAGCGAGAAATCAACCAAAAGAAAGTGGTAACAGGCCCCATGCAAGTCCAAAACACAACAGGGCAGATCTAAAATCTCAAAGCTTGCAAATCTCTCTTTACTCCATGTCCAGCATCCTGGGCACAATGGTGTGAGGAATGAGCTCCCAAAGCCTCAGGGACCCGTACCTTCATAGCTTTGCTGGGTACAGCCCTTGTGGCTTCTCTCATGGGTTGGAGTTAAATGCCTATAGCTTTTCTAGGCAGAGGTTGCATGCTTCCACTGGCAGTATAATTTTGGGGTCTGAACAGCAGAGATCCTGTTCCAACACCACACTAGACACTTTCCAGGTGGTTACTCTTTGTGTTGGCCCCACCCCTATGGCACATTCTTGCTTGGACACTCAGGCTTTCTAATACATCCTCTAAGCTGCTAAGCCTCCAAGGCTTTTGCATCCTGGTTGCCTGCAGACTTACCACCATATGGACACCACTAAAGATTGCTGCTTGCTCTGCCCTGAGAAACAGCCTGAGCAGTAGTACTTGGGCTCCTTGAGTCACATCTGGAGCCAGACCATCCAGGATGTGGGGAGCAATATCCTAAGACAGCACAGGGCAATGGCAACTCAGGCCCATCCCCTGAAACTATTCCGTCCTCCGAGGCCTCAGAGTCTAGATAGGAGAGGAGGAGGGGGCAGTCTTGAAGATTTCTGAAGTGTCACTGGGGACTTTTCAACATTGTTTTGACTATTAGCACTCAGCTCCCTTTAAGTCATGCTAATCTCTTTAGCAAGTGGTAACTCCTACTCCACAGTATCCTTGGATTCATCTCTTGAAAATTGTCTTTCTTCCTTTAACACATGGCCAGGCTGCAGATTTTTCCAATTTTTGTGCTCCACTGTTTTTCAATTATAAATTCCATTTCTGGGCCATTCCATTGCTGCCATATATTACCATGAGCTGTTAAATGCAGCCATTTCACTTTTTTAAAAAAAATTTTGTGCATACATAGTAGATGTATATATTTATGGGGTACATGAGATGTTTTGATACAGGTATGCAATGGGAAACAAGCACAACGTGGAGAATGGGGTATTCATCCCCTCAAGCATTTACCCTTTGTATTGCAAATAACTCAATTGCCCTCTTTATTTTAAAGTGTACAATTAAGTTATTATTGACTATAGTCATCCTATTGTGCTACCAAATAGTAGATCTTATTCATTCCTTCTAATTTTTTTTGCACCTGTTAACCAACCCTATCTCGGCCCCACTGCTAGGCTCTCACTACCCTTCCAAGCCTCCAGTAACCATCATTCTACTCTCTATGCCCATTAGTTCAATTGTTTTGATATTTAAATCCCACACATAAGTGAGAACATGGCAACATCTGTCTTACTGTGTCTGACTTATTTCAATTAACAGAATGATCTCCAGTCCTGTCCATGTTGTTGCAAAAAATTGCATCTAATTTTTTTATGGCTGAATAGTACTCCATTTTGTATATGTACCACATTTTTTTTATCCATTCATCTGTTGATGGAAACTTAGGTTGCTTCCAAATCTTAGCTGTTGCAAAGAATGCTGCAACAAATATGGGAGTGCAGTTATCTCTTCAATATAGTGATTTCCTTTCTTTTGAGCATATAGCCAGCAGTGGGATTGCTGGCTCTTTTGGTAGCTCAATGTTTAGCTTTTTGAGGAACCTCCAAACTGTTCTCCATAATGGTGTACTACTACATTTCCACTAATAGTGTACGAGGGTTTCCTTTTCTCCACGTCCACACCAGCATTTTTTATTGCCTGTGTTTTGAATATAAGCCATTTTATCTGGGCTAAGATGATCTCTCACTGTAGCTTTGATTTGCATTTCTCTGATGGTCAGTGATGTTGAGCAGCTTTTCATATGCCTGTTTGCCCTTTGTATGTCTTTTTTTGAGAAATGTCTAGTCAAATCTTAGCCCATTTTTGATTGAATTATTATATTTTTTTCTTATAGGGTTGTTTGAGTACTTGTATATTCTGGTTATAAATCCCTTGTCAGACGGGTAGTTTGCAAATATTTTCTCCCGTTCCGTGGATTGTCTCTTCACTATGCTGATTGTATCCTTTTCTGTGCAGAAGCTTTTTAAATTGATGTTATCCCATTTGTCCATTTTTGCTATGGTTGTCTGCGTTTGTGGGGTATTGTTTAATAAATTTTTGCAATTTTCTAGAGATTTTCCCCCAACGTTTTCTTGTAGTAGTTACATAGATTCAAGTCTTAGATTTAAAATTTAATCCATTTTTATTTGATTTGTGTAAATGGGGAGAGATACGGGTCTAGTTTCATTCTGTTACATACGGATATCCAGTTTTCCTAGCACATTTATTGAAGAGATTGTCATTTTTCCAGTGTATGTTCTGGAGACCTTTGTCAAAAATAAGGCTACTGTAGGTGGGTGAATTTCTTTCTAGGTTTTCTTCTAGGAAGAAGAAATAATTTAGCTTCTTCTTTTCCACATTGGATACAATTTATTTACTTCTATTGTTTGATTGCTGTAGCTAGGATTTTGAGTACTATGTTGAATAACAGTAGTGACTGTGGGCATCCTTCTCATGTTCCAAATCTTAGAAGAAAGGCTTTCAGTTTTTCCCCATTCAGTATGATACTAGCTATGAGTCTATCCTATCTGTCTTTTATTATATTGAGGTAACTTTCTTGTATCCCCAGTTTTTTGAGGGTTTTTATCATGAAGGGATGTTGAATTTTATCAAATGCTTTTTCAGCATCAATTAAAATGATCACATGGTATTTATTCTTCATTCTGTTGATGTGATGTATTACATTGATTGATTTGCATATGTTGAACCACCCTTGCATCACAGGGATAAATCCCACTTGGTCGTGATGAATAATCTTTCTAATGTATTGTTGAATTTGGTTTGCTAGTATTTTGTTGAGTATTTTTATATCAATAGTGATCAGACATATTGGCCGGTATTTTTCTCTTTTTTTGATATATCCTTTTCTGGTTTTGCATCAGGGTAATACAGGCCTTGTAGAATGAGTTTGGAAGTGTTCCCTCATCCTCTATTTTTCAGAATAGTTTGAGTAGGATTGATATTAGTTCTTCAAATGTTTGGTAGAATTCAGCAGTGAAACCATCAAGTCCCAGGCTTTTCTTTAGTGGAAGACTTTTTATAATGGCTTCTATCTCATTACTTGTTACTGGTCTGTTCAGCTTTTGGATTTTCCTGGTTCAATCTTGGTAGGTTACATGCATCTAGAAATGTACCTATTTTTTCTAGATGTTCAAATTTATTGGCATATAGTTGCCCTTAGTAGCCACTAAGGACCCTTTGAATTTCTGCTGCATCAGTTTTAATGTCTTATTGTTCATTTTTTATTTTATTGGTTTGGATCTTCTCCTTTTTTTCTCAGTCTGGCTAAAGTTTTGTCAATTTTGTTTAATTTTTCAAAAAACCAACTGTTTGTTTCATTGATCTTGTGTATTTTTTTCATTTCAATTGCATTTATTTCTGCTCTGATCTTCATTTTTTTCTTCTTCTAACTTGGAGTTTGGTTTGCTCTTGCTTTTCTTTAAGATGTATAGTTAAATTGCAAACCTGCACATTGTGCACATGTACCCTAAAACTTAAAGCATAATTAAAAAAGAAAAGAAAAAAATGCAAACTGCTACTAAAAAAAAATGGAAAGACTTCATCGTCTAAATCAAAAAAGGAAGCAAGCTAATGCTATCTTTAGTATCAGAGACATATCCAAACAACACATTAAGAAAGGCTGCAAACTTCAAAAGCAATAGTTATCCAATCAGATAAAAAGTAAGATACAAAACCATTATTAACACTTTGTGAAGCCAATGTGGAAAGTATAGCATGCTTTCTTTTGTATGACAATATACATACAAAAAAGAATGCTGGTTTCCTTCTTTCCACGTGTACTTCATTAAAACATATATTAACTTAATAAAATTTGTTTATTGATATTTTAGGGTTATTTAAAAATATTTTTTATAGTCATATAGGGTTTTCTCCTTAGGTACATCATAATAGCAAACAATAAATTACTACAGTTTATTTTTTACAGCAACTATTATTTTCAAATAAGCTTTTTACCTTCTAAGTGATGTTGGCTCTGAAGAGAGGTACAGTCCCCACATTCTTTATTTAGGTTGCTTGTCTTAATCTGGTCACTAGAAAATAAAATACACACTAAACACACACACACACACACAAAAAATAATAAAAATCTTTCATAAATGTAAAAAAAATTTTTTTCATTTGAAGTTTTCCCTTATTTTTGATATAGGTACTTATAGGTATAATATTCCCTCTTAGTACTGTTTTTGCTGTATCCCATAGGTTTTGGCATGTTGTTTCCATTACCATTTGTTTTAAGAAAATTTTCAATTTCCTTCTTAATTTCTTCATTGATCCACTGATCATTCAGAAGCATATTGTTTAATTTTCATGTATTTGTATAGCTTCCAAAATTCTTCTTGTTATTACTTTCTAGTTTTATTCCATTGTGGTCAGAGAAGATGCTTGATATTATTTCAATTTCTTTTGAATGTTTTAAGACTTGTTTTGTGTCCTAACATATGGTCTATCCTTAAGAACAATCCACATGCTGAGGAAATGAATGTGTATTCTATAGCTCTTGGACAACATGCTCTGTAAATATCTATTAGATTCATTTGGCCTGTAGTGCAGATTAAGTCCGATGTTTCTTTGTTGATTTTCTTTCTGGAAGATCAGTCCAATGCTGAAAATGGGGTGTTGAAGTCTCCAGCTATTATTGTATTGGAGCCTATCTCTCTCATTAGCTATAATAGTATTTTCGTTATGTGTCTGGGTGCTGCAGTGTTTAGTGAGTATATGTTTCAAATTGTTATATCTTCTTCTAAATTGACCCCTTTATCATTATATAGTGACTTTTTTATCTCTTCATATAGTATTTGTCTTGAAATCTATTTTGTCTGCTATAATTATAGCAGCTCCTGCTTTTTGTTTGTTTGTTTCAGTTGGCATAAAATATCTTTTTCCATCTGTTTATTTTCAGTCTGTGTGTCTTTATAGGTGAAGTGTGTTTCTTGGAGGCAACAGGTCAATGGGTCTTATTTTTTCATCCATTTAGCCAGTCTACATCTTTTGATTGGAAAGTTTATTCCATTTACATTCAATATTATTATTGATAAGAAAGAATGTACTCCTGCTATTTTTTTATTTGTTTTCTGGTATCATCTTCTTTTTTTCCATTCCTTCCAGTCTTCCTGCAGTTAAGGTTATTTTCTCTAGTGATATGATTCAGTATCTTGCTTTTTATTTTTTGTGTAATGATTGTACATTTTTTGGTTTGAGGTTACCATAAGGCTTGCAAATGCTATTTTATAAGCCATTATTTTAACAATTGAAAACTGTTTGCATTAACATTAACTAACAAACAAACAAGCAAAACATTAACTAATAAAAGTCAATGCCTTAATGTTATCTCCCAGCTTTTTAACTTTTCATTTTTCTTTATTTATATCTCATTGTATTAGCTACATATTGAAAAGTTGTTGTATTTATTAGTTTTAATTGGTTCATCATTTAATCTTTCTACATAAGATTAGAGTAGTTGACACATCACAGTTACCGTATTATAATATTCTGTGTTTTCCTGTGTACTTACAGTAAATTGTGCACCTTAGGGTGATTATTTATTGCTTATTAATGTCCTTTTCTCTCTGACTGAAGTACTTCCTTGATCATTTCTTATAGGACAGCCCTGATATCAGTGAATTCCCTCAGGTTTTGTTTGTCTGGAACGCTGTTTATTTCTTTGTGTTTCAAAAGTATTTTCATTGGATATACCATTCTAATATAAAAGATTTTTTCCTTGAGCATTTTAAATATGTCATGTCACCCTCTCCTGGCCTCCAATGTTTCCACTGAAAAGTCTCACCCAAACATGTTGGAGCTCCATTATGTGTTATTTGTTTCTCTTGTCTTGCTGCTTTTAGAATCCTTTCTTTATGCTTGACCTTTAGGGGTTTGATTATCAAATGCCTTGATGTAGTCTTTTTGGCTTAAATCTGCTTGGTGTTCTATAATCTTCTTGTACTTGGATATTGATATCTTTCTCTAGGTTTGGGAAGATCTCTGTTATTATCCCTTTGAATAAACTTTCTACTTCTATCACTTTCTCTATCTCCTTTTTAAGGCCAATAATGCATAGATTTGCCCTTTCAAGGCTATTTTATAGATCCTGTAGGCATGTTTCATTGTTTTTTATTTTTTCTTTTGTCTCCTCTGTGTATTTTTTTTTTCGTTTGTCTCCTCTGACTATGTCTTCAGGCTTACTAATTCTTTCTTCTGCTTGATCCATTATGCTATTCAAGGACTCTCATGCATTCTTCAGTATACATTCCATTTTTCAGCTCCAGAATTTCGTCTTGATTCTTTTTAATTATTTCAATCTCTTTGTTCAATGTATCTGATAAAATCCTGATTTTTTTCTATTTGCTATCTTAAATTTCTTTGAGTTTCCTCAAAACTGCTATTTAGAATTCTCTGTCTGAAAGGACACATATTTCTGTTTCTCCAGTATTGGTCCCTGGTGCCTTACTAAGTTCATATTGCAAGGTCATGCTTTCCTGGATGGTATTCATGCTAGTAGATATTATTTGGTGTCTGGGCATTGAAGAGTGAGGTATTTATTGTACTCTTCACTATCTGAGCTTATTGGTAGCAGTCCTGCTTGGGGAAGGTTTCCAGATATTTGAGAGGACTTAGGTATTGTGTTCTAAGCTCTATCTTCTTTAGAGAGAACCCCCATCCCAGCTATGCTGTGGTTCTTGCAGACTTGTAGAGGTACACTGTGTTGGTTTTGGACAAAATCCATTAGAATTCTCTGGATTACCAGGCAGAGACTCTTGTCTTCTCTTACTCTCTCTTAAACATACCAAGTCTCTCTCTCTTTCTGCTCTGAGCCATCTCAAGCTATGGTGTGGAGTGACACAAACACTGCTGTGGCCACCACCACTATGACTGTGCTGTGTTACCTGAAACCAGTACAGCACTGGGTCTCACCCAAGGCATGTTGTCTCCACTCCCTGGCTACTGCCTATGTTTGTTCAAGGCCCTGGGACTCTACAATCAACATGTGGCAAAGCCAGCCAGGCCTATGTCTCTCCCTTCAGGACAGTGAACTCTTCTAGGCCATAATCAGGTCCAGAAGTCCCATCGGAAGTCAGGGTCTAGAGTCAAAAACCTTAGAAGTCTACCTGGCGTTCTATTGTATTGCAGTTGAGCTGCCACTTAAACCACAAGAGCTGCCACTCAAATCACAAGATGTAGACCTTGCCACTTTTCTGTCCCCTTTCCAAAGGCAGAGGAGCCTCACCCCATAGCCACCATCACCCCAGGCCACCAGGAATACTGCCAGACTATCATCAATGTTCCCTTAAGGCCCAAGGTCTCTTCAGTCAGCTTGCGGTGAATGCTGCCTGGCCTAGAATTCACCATTCAGGGCAGTGGGCTCCCCTCTGGCCAGGGCAGGTCCAGAAATGCCATCCAAGAATCAAGTCCTGGAATCAGGGACCCCAAGAGCCCACTTGGTGCACTACCCACTGTGGCTGTGCTGGTACCTAAGGTGTAAGACAAAGTCCCTTTTACATTTCCCTCTGCTTTTCTCAAGCAGAAGGAGTTTTGCCCCATAGCCACCATAGCTAGGAATGTGCTGAGTCTCACCTGAAGCCATCAAGTCTCACTGACTCACCCAATGCCCTTGATGTAGTAGCCGGGTGATATGGTTTGGCTGTGTTCCCATCCAAATCTCATCTTGAATTCCCATATGTTGTGGGAGAGACCCAGTGGGAGGTAATTTAATCATGGGGGCAGGTCTTTCCCATGCTGTTCTCATGCTAGTGAATAAGTCTCATGCACAAGATCTGGTGGTTTTGAAAAATGGGAGTCTCCCTGCACAAGCTCTTTTTGCCTTGTACCATCCATGTAAGATGTGACTTGCTCCTCCTTGCCTTTCGCCATGATTGTGAGGTTTCCCCAGCCACATGGAACTGTGAGTCCAATTAAACCTCTTTCTTTTGTAAATTGCCCAGTCTTGGGTATGTCTTTATCAGCAGTGTGAAAACGGACTACTACGCTGGGTATCACTGCTGTTTATTAAGAGCCCACCGCCTCTTCAGTTAGTGGGTGATGAATGCTGCCAGGAATGGATCTTTTTTTCAAGGTAATGCATTCTCTTCTGGCCCAGGTTTTGTGTAGAAATGTCATCTGGGAGCTAGGGCCTGAAATAGGTGCCTCACAACTCTGAATGGTATCCTATCCTACTGTGGGTGAGCCAGTATTCTAGATGTAAGACAAAGTCCTCCCCACTTTTCCCTTTCCCCTCCTCAGTCAGAAGGAAGGGGCGTCTTTTGGAGTTGTGAGCTGTGCAGCCTGGAGTTAGGATAGTGGTAATTCCAGCACTCTCTCTTGGCCTCCAGACTGGTGTGTCAGCATGTCCCATGCCCTCGGCATTTTACCGTTTCTGGGCCTAGTTCAGCACTAGGACTCTCGAAAGAGTTGCAGTCCCAATGTCCTAGACTACCTTTAAGTTTACTTGGAGACAGAGAGTGCTGTAGCCCTCGGTTGTGTGACAAAGTTCGCAGGAACTCAGTTTCCGCCTGCTGGGAGTGGTAATTTTCCTTTGGCTAGGGCTGGTTTAAATGTTCCCTCCATGGACCAGCATCAGCTGAGTTTGGTCTGGTTTTCATTTCTGCTTTAACAGGGCAGTACTGAGTTCAGTGCCTCACAATTCCCGTGTTCTTCTTCCCCCAGTGCCCAGAGATGCTCTCCGCAGCACACTGCTGCTGCTTGGGAGGTGAAGGTGGTGTCAGCAATTCAGAAATGTTTTATCTATTTCTTCAGTGCTTCTTTCAGCTATATGAAGTTAAAAACAGGTACTATGAGGGCTCATCTGAATTTTGGCTCTTATTAAGGTGTTTTTTGATTGGTGGATAGTTGTTAACTTTGTGCCCTTGTTGGAGGGGATGATCAGTGGAGCTTTCTATTCTGCCATCTTCTTCCATCTCCCAGCCACTTCGCTTCTTGAAGACTTCGCTGCTTAGAAAATTTTTCCACCAGATGCCCTAGGTCATCACTTTTAAGGTTGGTCTTCCACAGAGCCCTCAGGTATGGACACAATACAGACAAGTACTTTGCCACAATGTAACAAGGATGGCCTATGCTCCACTTCCAAATAAGTTCCTCATTTCCATCTGAGACCTTGTCGGTATGGCCTTTACTGTCTACATTTGTGTCAGCATTTTGGTTACAACCATCTATTCTTCAGTCTGTAAGAAGTTCCAAACTTCCCTTGTCTTTTTGTCTCCTGAGCCCTGGAAACTCTTCCAACCTTTGCCCATTACCCAGTTCCAAAGCCATTCTCACATTTTTGGGGTATTTTTATAGCAACACCAAACTCTCAGTACTAATTTCCTGTCTTAGCCTGTTTGTGTTGCTATGAAGAAATACCCAAGACTGGGTAATTTATAAAGGAAAGAGGTTCATTTGGCTCATGATTCTGCTCATGATAGAAGGCAAAGGGGACTTGACATGTGCAAGCATGTATATGGTAAGAGAGAAAGCAAGCAAAAGGGAGGAGGTGCCAGTCTGGATTTTTTGTTGTTTTTAACAGCCTTCCCTGGTGGGAAATAATAGTGAGAACCCACTCACCCCCAAGGGAGGGCATTAATCTATTCATAAGGGATCTGCCTCCAGGATGCAAACACCTCTCTTTAAGCCCCACCTCCAAGAGGAGATTTAGAAGAGTCAAACAAACAAAACTATAGCAGCAGCACCCCCTCCCCCCAAAAGAAATCTGTGTCATTAGTGGTTACTTCCTATTCCTCTCAAACACTATCAGCCCTTGGCAACCAATAATCTATTTTCTGTCTCTATATACTTGCCTATCCTGGACATTTGATGTAAATGAAATTATACAATATGTGGTCTTTTGGGACTAACTACATTTATTTAGTATATTTACAATGTTCATTCATCTTGTAGTATTGATCAGTAATCCATTTCTTTTTATTGCCTAATAATGTTGCACTATATTGATTTGCACTATATTGATTTAATTAGTTCATCATTTAATGAACATTTCGGTTATTTCCACTTTTTGACTGTTATGAAAAATGTTGCTATGAGCATTCATTTATACATTTTTGTGTAGACATATTTTTATTTCTCTTCTGTACATACCTAGAAATGGAATTGTGACATCAAACTCTAAATTTAATATTTTGTGGAGTTATCTGTTTTACAAAGTAGCTGCACCACATTTTATTCCCCCTAGCAATACATAAGGGTTCTAATTTCTCCAAATCCTAGTGGGTGTGAAGTTTCACTGTGGTTTTGATTTGCATTTAACTCATGAGTGATGATGCTGAACATTCTTTCATGTATTTATTGGCCATTGTTTATCTTCCTTGGAGAAAGGTCTATTCAAATCCACTGCTCATTTTAAAATTTGCTTATTTGTCTTTTTGTTGAGTTACAAGTGTTCTTTATGTATTTTGGCTATGAGTCACTTATCAGATACATATCTTGTAAAAAATTTCTGCCATTCTTATCACCATGCACTTTTAAACTTACATATATGTGTGTGTGTGTTTATACACACATGTGTAATATGTGAATATGTAATACTTATGTATATCTAATGTACATAAACTATATATTTATAATATGATATATGATATAATATGTGAATCATTTTGTGTGTATCTTAATTTTTATATACATAGCATTAATACACTATATCATTTGGTACTTTCCTTGGCTTCACTCAATATTCTGTATATTGATATATTTTCTAACTGACGATCAAGTCTAGTTCCCTCTCTAGTTCATTCATGACAAATGCTGACTAGATTCTACTGCATGAATAAACCATTGTTTAATTATTATATTTTCTTCCCCCTGTATCCTGCCTTCCAGTTAAATGTATTTAAAAGATTAGATATTCCTGGTCATATTGGCTGCACTCTCATTCTTAACAACCATAGGAAAGTTTGCCGTTAAATGCTGTCAGATAAATAAACCTCCCAAAATATACAACTTTATAATATCTGAACACTATTGCTCAGCACAGTGCCCAGAAACTTGTCTTTTGTAATCACAATTTATAAAGTAATGCTTCGCTTCTGTGGACATTATTTATTTTCATTCTGTAGGTTGAGACAGAGTCATAGTGATTAAGCTTGATGGTCACATATGCTTCTGAAGTTACAAAAGTAGAAAGAAAAAAAGTTCAAAAATTAAAAACTGGGGATAATTGCATAATTTATAAAGTTAAAAAACAAGTCATAAATAAACAGTCAGTCAAGAATCAATGGCAAAAAAAAATTCTGTGAGGTGAACTTTGGAAAATAAAAGTTGTTGAGGACATTAAGGAATGATGCTGAATACTACAATGTGTCAAAGACCTTGACACTCCCTGCTACACACTGATGTAAAAGGAGGCATATCTACCTCCATCAGACATTTTGTGTCAGAAAGTCACTAGATACACATCAAAGGGAAGCAGGTGTTCTATTCACAGTAAATGCCCTGATTCTGGAAAGGCTACATGTTTGGCCTAAAACAGTAGAGAATTGAATGAGAATCTAGAAAGAGACCTTCAAATTTTATTGTTTTTACATTTTTTTATTTTCTAAATTTCTCCCACCTTTATGAAGTTTTGTTAGATTGCTCGTCAAGAGGACAATGTTTCTTTTCTATAAGTGAATTCACTTCACTAATTATTTAGCACAAAACCATGACTATTTTATGCCTACCCGTGATTCAGATTCTAAATATTGGTTTATTCTGAGATAATTATTTATCTTTTTGTTGTTCTCTGCCTTATTTTTTCTTTGAATTTTCATTATTCTTGACAGATCAATATTTTTTAAAGAAAATAAATTTTGTATTTTCCCTCCTCAGAAATAATTCAGTTTCTTACTACAGCACCAAGTAGCAGATAACAGTGTGACTTCTGAAGTCAGTTATCAAAGATGGGTTTCAAAATTATCTAGAATTGGAGATAAACAGGTGGAAGTATCAGAATACAAAGATTATATGGTGGTTTATAATGCTGTGTTTCCCCTTTATCAAAATAATTTTGACATTTTCTATAACAAAAAGTGGAAAATAAGCAGCCTAACTCTGTTATACTCTCCATCAACTTAAATATATATGTATTAATATACGCATATAAATGTATATATGTGTTTATATGTGTGTGTATATGTGTGTGTATGTGTGTATATATGTGTATATGTATACACACACATATATATAATACATATAAATATATGCATACACACACACACACACACACACACACACACACATATATATATATATATATATATATTTAGACAGAGTCTTCCTCTGCCCCCCAGGCTTGAGTGCAGCAGTGTGATCTCAGCTCACTGCAACCTCTGCCTCCCAGGTACCAGCAATTCTCATTCCTCAGTCTCCTGAGTAGCTGGGAGTACAGGCATGCACCACCACAACTGGCTACTTGTTTGAATTTTTTTTAGTAGAGACAGGGTATCACTGTGTTGGCCAGGCTGGTCTTGAACTCCTGAACTCAAGTGATCCACCCCACTCAGCCTTGCGAAGTGCTGGAATTACAGGTGTGAGCCACCATGCCCGGCCAGACTTAAATATATTTATTTTTTAACCTCATTGAGGCGAATAATAAATGTGGGGCACGCTGAGGAAATCTTGTGCCAGGTATTTAGAAATTTTTTAATTTTATAAGAGCCTAGCTAAGAAACATTTTAAGTGACTCTCAATAATCTACTGGGGGAATGTTGGTGGAGTATAAAAAGAATGTATATATTTTACATTTATCTGAAAGCATCTTCATTCTATTGGACTTCTTAGAATGAATATTCTACATACCATACTTAAACCAAATTAATTATATCTTGGTTAATTCTATAGAACTGCATTGTCCAATATAGTAGCCAGCAGCCACATGAAGCTATTTAAGTTTACATTAATTAACATCAAATAAAATTTAAAATTCAGTTTCTTCATCCCACCTACCACATTTCAAATGTTTAATAGCCATATATAGCTAGTAGCTACTATATTAAGCTTCACAGATACAGAGCATTTCAATTATAGCAGAAAGTTACATTGGATCACATTGATAATGGAATATTACCAATATTCATGGCCAGGCATTTATTTGCTCTGCCTTTGCATCAATCTATCTTAGTTGTGGTCAAAATAGAGTTTCTTCCTCAAGAGTCACATACTATCAGCCCTCTAAGAGTCAGGTGATATTTCCCATTTTTAACTAAAAAATTTTCTATTGCCTTAGGTTAGAAAATTCACAGAGACCAGAGATAACAGAAACACAAATGATGTAGTATTACTAGAATTTAAATGTAAAAAATGATGGTTGAGTGAAAGTATGAAAAAATGAGTTTGGAGTAAACAAATAAAGAGCAAACTATATTACTTTGGGAAGAAAAGCTTGTGTTTTTATGAGAACTAAAAATGGCTTGGGCAGGTACTTATTTTCTCAGAGAAATAAAAGCAACTTACTGTGATAGAAAACACCATTATTTCCTAGTAAGGCTACACCTTGTTCCACTTACTGGTTTTATTTAATACCAAAAGGAACCAAGACTGCTTTTTGCTTATTCAACCCATTGTGTGTGTATGTGCGTGTGTACACACACATACGTATATAAAATACATTACTGTATATGTAAAATTATTCACAGTTTTATTACCTAAACTTGTCAAGACACTGTATGCAGCTGCTTTTAATACCTTTTTTTTTTTTTTTTTCTGAGACAGAGTTTCACTCTTCTCGCCTAGACTGGAGTGCAATGGTCCGATCTCTGCTCACTGCGAACTCTGCCTTTCAGGTTAAAGGGATTCTCCTGCCTCAGCCTCCCGAGTAGCTGGGATTACAGGTGCCTGCCACCACGCCCAGTTAATATTTGCATTTTTAGTAGAGACGGGGTTTCACTATGTTGGCCAGGCTGGTCTTGAATTCCTGACCTCAGGTGATCCACCCACCTCGGCCTTCCAAAATGCTGGGATTACAGGCATTAGCCACCGTGCCCTGCAGAGCTGCTTTTAATATCGAAAGAAAAGAATTTCTTCCCAGTTAATGACTTCACTTTTGCAGTATTTACTTCTATACAATTATTTTCATTACCTTAAGCTGTTTAAAGAATGAAAATGCTCCATATTTATTAATTGGGGGAAGTAATATATTCAATAAGTACAAACATTTCTGATACCTAAAACAGTCCCTTTAAAGACTAATATTTGAAAACTTTTTACATTTTGATAGATACTTATGTAAAAATGTATAACCGTTCTTCGCTTTATTACATAGAATATCATGGTAACACAGTACTTTCTTGACCAGCTGGACTCACAATTCAGCTCATCACTTTTGCTAACTCTAATCCTTTGGTGCCTTGAGACCTATTGTGGTGAAGTTCGTTTCTAAAGTAAACGACTACAGGTAAATCGTGATTCTGCTGCTCATTGTGCTTTCTTTTCATTGAAATTGTCAAGTATTAGCCCTTCTTCCTGTGTTTCTAATCATATGTCCAACATCATTTGATAAAAAATGAAGGTTTCCAAGGAAACCAATAGACAAGTTTGTTAAGTGAATACATTTAACTCCACATGAATTACCAAGTCATTTGACTTGTTTGAGAATTGGAACATATCTCCCATGCAAAGCTCATGAGCTTTATGACAACCATTTTTTTCATTCTTCCAAAAGGTGCTCTTATTTTCTCCTGTGTGGCTGAAATCTGAATCTGTATATAATTGAGGTGGTGAAAATGGGTTCTTTTTATGTTTTTAAGAAAATTATGAAATTGTTTTTAGTTATGTTGATTTAAAACCAGAAAGCTTTAGAAATAAAATTACAAGGAGAACTGCTTTTAATTAAACCTAAGAACCAGTTTAAGGCTATTCTTGACAGAAACCAAGACTGATATTTTCTTAAATGCAAAAACAAGAGTGAAGTATTTAATTTATTATTTTCCCCTTGTTAAGAGTATTATACACAATATTTAATTCATCAGTTAAATAATTATTACTTTGTTTCAAAAATATTTAGTTGAATGCTGTGTGAAACCAGCTATGTAATGCTATGCAAAATAAAGTGAAGGAGGGGGGTAACTTTAAGCTCTGGGCTTCTTCATAGGACTCAAAAGATTTTCCTCATTGATAAATATTAAATTATATTTTGAAATCAAATTGCTTTGCATATAATTGAAGGTTATAAAAATAAGCAACTCAGTGTATTGAATGTGTCCATCACCCAAGTGCAATACATTTTAGTTAAGAATATTCACCCTACTCTGCTATCAAACACTACATTTATTCCATCTTGACTATTTTACATTTGCACCCTCCCTTAATCCACTTTCTTCATCCTCTTCCTTTTCCCCAACTCGCCCTCTCCATCTTTGTTATTTACTCCCATGTGACAAGATTTTATAGCCCCACACATAAGTGAGAACATGCAATATTTGTCTTTTTGTACCTGGCTTATTTCGCTTAAGAGAATTACCTCCAATTTTATCCATATTGCTACAAATAGCATGATTTCATTCTTTTTTATAGCTGAATAGTATTCCATTGTGTATATATATCACAATTGTTTCATTTGATGTACATTTAGGTTGATTCCATATTTTTGCTAATGTAAGTAGTACTGCAGTAAACCTATGAGTGCAGGTACCCCTTTTATATATTGATTTTTTTTCTCCTTTGAGTAGATACCCTACAGTGGGATTGCTGGATTGAATGGTAATTCTATTTTTAGTTTTTTTCTTTTTGAGAAATTTGCATACTGTTTTCCATAGTGGCTCTACTAGATTATGTTCCCACCAACAGTGTATAAGCATGCCTTTTTTCTGTGTCCTTCCCAATATCTGTTATTTTTCTGTCTTTTTAATGATAGCCATTCTGACTAAGATGATATCTCACTGTAATTCTGATTTGCATTTCTCTAATGAGTAGTGATGTTAAACATTTTTTCATATACCTGTTGGCTGTTTTTATACCTTCTTTTGACAAATGTCTATTCATGTTCTTTGTCTACATTGTAGTGGTTTGTTTTGTTTTGTTTTGTTTTGTTTTGTTTTCCTGTTGTGTTGCTTGAGTTCCACATATATTCTGGATATCAGTCCCCTACTGAATGCATAGTTTGCAATATTTTCTCTCATTCAAAAGGCTGTCCCTTCATCCTGTTAATTTTTTTTTTCTGCGCAGAAGCTTGTTAGGTTAAGTCCCATTCATCTATTTTTTGTTGTTGCTTATCCTTTCGAGGTCTTAGTCATAAAAGTTTTGGTTAGACCAATGTCCAGGAGAGAGTCCCCTAGGTTTTCTTCTAAAATTTTTGTGCTTTTAGTTTCCACACTTAACTCTTTATTTCATTTTTGGGTTGGTTTTTGTATAGGGTGAGAAATAGGGGCCCAGTTTCACTATTTTGCATATGGCTATCCAATTTTCCTAGCACCATTTATTAAAGAAAGTGTCCTGTTCTCAATGTAAGTTCTTGACAGCTTTGTCAATGGTAAAATTGGCTGTAAATACGTGACTTTTAATTTCTGGTTGCTCTATTCTGCTCCATTGGTTTATGTGTCTACTTTTGAACCAATACCATGTTATTTTGGTTACTGTAGCCTTTGAATATATTTTGAAATCAGGTAATATGATGCCTTCAGCTTTGTTCTCTTTGCTCCAGATTTCTTTGGGTATTCAGGCTCTTTTTCAGTTCCATATGAATTTTAGGATTTTTGTTTATAATTCTGTGAAGAATAATGTTGTTATATTGGTAGCAGTTGAATTGCATTTGCAGATTACTTTGAGAGATATGGTCATTTGAATAACACTAATTCTTCCAATCCATGAGCATGAGATGATTTTCCATTTGTTTGTATCATCTTTAATCTCCTTCAGCAGTATTTTGTAGTCTCGCTTGGCTTTCACCTCCTTGGTTATACTTATTCCTAGGTATTTTATTTTATTTTATTGTAGCTATTATAAATGGAATTGCCTTCTTGACTTATTTCTTGGGTAGATAATTATTGGTATATAGAAATGCTACAGATTTTTGTACATTGATTTTGTATCTTGCAACTTTACTGAATTCATTTATTAACTATAAAGTTTTTGTGGAGTCTTTAGGTTTTTCTATGCATAAGATCAAATAGGTAAAATTTGACTTCCTCTTTTCCAATTTGGATGTCTTTTATTTGTTTCTCTTGTCTGATTGCTCTGTCTAGGACTTCCAGTGCTATGTTGAATAGGAGTGGTAAAGTTCAGCATCTTTGTCTTGTTCCAGTTTTTAGAGGAAAGGCTTTAAAATTTTTCCCCTTTCAGCATGATGTTAACTGTGGGTTTTTTTGTTTGTTTGTTTTTTGTTTTGTTTTTGAGATGGACTCTCACTCTGTCACCCAGGCTGGAGTGCAGTGGCACGATCTCAGCTCACTGCAACCTCTGCCTCCCGAATTCAAGTGATTCTCCTGCTTCAGCCTCTCAAGTAGCTGGGATTACAGGCACCCACCACAATGTCCGGCTAATTTTTGTATTTTTAGTAGAGACAGGGTTTTGCCATGTTGGCCAGGCTGGTCTCGAACTCCTGGCCTTGGGTGATCCACCAGCCTCAGCCTGCCAAAGTGCTGGGATTACAGGAATGAGCCACCACACTCTGCCTGTGGGTTTGTTTTATATGGCTTTTATTATTTTGAGGTATGTTTCTTCTATGCCTAGTTTGTTGCGAGTTCTTATCATAAAGAGATGTTGCATTTTATCAAATGCTTTTCTATTGAGATAATAATTTTGTTTTCTTTAAAGTGATGTATTATGTTTATTGATTTGCATATGTTGAACCATCCTTGCATCCCTTTTATAAATCCCACCTGATCATGGTATGTTACCTTTTTGATATGCTGTTTTATTTGGTTTGCTAATGTTTTGCTGAGGATTGTTTTGCACCTATGTTCATTAAGAATATTGGCTTGTGGCTTTTTTTGTTGTTGTGTTCTTGTCAGGTTTGGGTGTCAGGGTGATCCTGGCCTTGTAGAATAAGTTAGGGAGAATTCCCTTCAATTCAACTTTTTGGAATAGTTTCAGGAGGATTGGTAATTTGTTCTTCTCTGTACTATTGGTAGAATTTGGCTGTTTATTCATCCAGTTGTGTCCTTTTCTTTGTTCGGGAGACTTTTATGACTGACTCAATCTTACTACTTGTTATTGATCTGTTCAAGTTTTCTATTTTTTTCCTGATTCAGTCTTGATAGGTTGTATATTTCTAGGAATTTATCCATTCCCTGTAGGTTTTCCAATTTGTCTGCACAGAGTTGTTCATAATAGTCTCTGGTGATCTTTTTTATTTCTGTGGTATCAGTTGTAATGGCTCCTTCATTCATGATTTTGCTGATTTGGATCTTCTCTCTTCTTTTCTTGGTTAGTCTATCTAGAGATGTATCAATTGTGTTTATCTTTTTGAATAACTTTTCATTTCATTGATACTTTGTATTGTTTTAATCTCTATTTTATGTAGCTTTGCTCTGATCTTTATTATTTCTTTTCTTCTAATTCTGAGTTTGGTTTGTCCTTGCTTTACTAGTTTCTTGATCTGCATTGTTATATTGTTAATTTGTAATCTTGCTGTTTGTTTGTGTCATTTATTGGTATAAAAATCCCTCTTACCACCCCTTTTGCTATATTTGACAGGTTTTTGTATGTCATTTCCATTTTCATTTGTTTCAATATTTTATTTTATTTTATTTTCATACTTATTTCTTCCTTGGCCCAATGGTCATTCAGGAGCATGTTGTTTAATTTCCATGTATTTGTATAGTTTCCAAAGTTCCTCTTGATATTGACTTCTACTTTTATTCCATGATGGTCTGAGAGGATACTCAATATTATTTTGAGTTTGTAAAACTTGTTGAGACTTATTTTGTGGCCTACCATCTCCTGTAGAATGTTCCATGTGTTGAAGAAAAGAATGCATATTCTGCAGTTGTTAGATAGAAGGTTCTGTAAGTATTGGCTAGATCTATTTGGTGTAAAGTCCAGTTTAAATCCAATGTCTTTTCTTTGAATCTCTGTCTAAATAATCTGTTTAATGCTGAGAATGACATGTTAAAGGCTCCCACTGTCATATATTGCAGTCTATCTTTCCCTTTAGACCTAGTGATGCTTGCTTTATTAATCTGAGTGCTTTACTTTTAAGTGCAAATATATTTAGAATTGTTATATCTTCCTGCTAGACTGATCCATTTATCATCATATAATGACCTTCTTTGTCTTTTTTTTTTTTTTACTGTTCTTGACTTAAAATCTGTTTTATCTGACAGAAATGTAGCTACTCCTGCTTGCTTTTGGTTTCCATTTGCATGGAATATCTTTTTCCATCCTTTGACTTTCAATCAATGTATGTCTTTAATGATAAGGTGAGTTTCTTTTAAGTAGCATATAGTAAGTTTATTTTAAAAATTCATTCAACCTATCTATATCTTTTAAGTGAGAATCTAGTCCATTTTTTCAGGTTATTATTGATATGTGAGGCTTTGTTCCTGTTATATTGTTGTTTTCTGTTTTATATATTCTTTGTTTTTTTACATTTTCTCTTATTGTTAGTTGTTGTAGTCTGGTGAAATTCTATAGTGGTGCCATTTGAGTCCTTTCTTTCTCTCCTTTGTCTGATTGCTTTACCAGTGAGTTTTATACTTTCACATGTTTTCATGATGGCAAATGCCATCCTTTTGCTTCCAAATTTAGAACTCCCTTGAGCATTTCTTGTAGGGCTAGTCTAGTGGTAACAAATTCTCTCAGCATTTGCTCATCTGGAAAAGACTATTTTCCTTCATTGATGAAAGATATTTGGGGGGGGAATATTAATAGTGTTCTTTCCAACACTTCTTTGGATATATTATCTCATTATCTTCCACACTGTAAGGTTTCTCCTGAGAAATGCACTGTTGTTCTGATGAGTTTTCCTTTATAGTTGACTAGTTGCCTTTTGCTTGCTGTTTTTAGAATTTGCTCTTTATGATTGACTTTAGATAGCCTGATTTTAACATAAGAGATGATTTTTGCATTGAGAAGTTTACATTTATTATTTTATTAAATAGATTTTCTATTCTTTTTATTATCTCTTCACCTTTGCGAATAACAATAGTTCATATAATTGGTCACTTTATGTTATCCCAAGTGTCATGAAGGCTTTGTTCATTATTTTTAAATCTTTTTCCTTTATTTTTGTCTTACTGCATTATTTCAAAAGACCTGTCATTAAGTTATGAGATTTTTTCTTTTGCCTGATTTAATCTATTGTTGAGGCTTGCAAATGTATTTTGTATTTCCCTTAATTAATTCTTCGGCTCCAGAATTTATATTTCTAAAAATATCTATGACTTTGGTAAATTTCTCATTCGTATCCTAAATTGTTTTTCTGATGTTTTGTATTGTTTTTCAGAATTCTCTTGCGTCTCACTGAGTTTCTTTAAAATCAACATTTTGAATTCTTTATCTGGAGTTTTAAAAATTTCTTTTTGATTAATATCTATTGCTGATGAATTATTGTATTCTTTTGGAGGTTTCATAATTTCTTGCTTTTCTTTATGTTTTCTGTATCCATATGTTGATATCTGTGTATCTGGTGTAATCACTTCTTCCTGTTTTTGATTTCACTTTTATAAAGGAAGGACTTTTTAAAAAGATGTATGTGTGGTGGTTTCTAAATTTATTTTTAATTTTTTGAGATAGAGCCTCACTCTGTCACCAAGGCTGGAGTGCAGTGGCACAATCTCGGCTCACTGCAGCCTCCGTCTCCCGGGTTAAAGCGATTCTCCTGCCTCAGCCTCCCAAGTATCTGGGATTATAGACATGCACTGCTATGTCAAGCAAATTTTTATATTTTTTAGTAGAGATGGGGTCTCACCATGTTGGCCAGGCTGATCTCGAACTCCTGACCTTAAATGATCTGCCTGTCTTGACCTCCCAAAGTGCTGGAATTACAGGAGTGACCCAGCATGCCCAGCCCTGGCCTTTCATTTCACTTTTGTAAGGGAAAAAACTTTTAAAAGACACATGTGTGGTGTTAGTTGGTAGAGCACGTTGGCTTTGATTCTGGGTGCATCCAGTAGTTTCATCTCTATATGGTTTCTTTGGTTGTAAGCAACATCAGTGCTTCCTGTGATTTCCTTGGCGCATTAAGGTGTAGGTATCAGTAAAGGAGGTGTAGAAGTTATACTGGGGACTTGGAAAGTGGGCCAGTCTTCAGGCTTCAGTGATGGCAGCAGTGGGCTGAGCATACTATGTTTTTATGCCCTAGGGTAGTGTACACTAGCCCCTATGTCAGTGATTAGTGGCAGTCTGATTCTTGGGCTTCCACATGGATTGCTCATCTGCAAGTAGTAGCAGCAGTGGATAGGGCAAGTGAGCAGGCTCTCGGGTCCCTGGTCAGCTGGTGTGGTATGGGCAATGGTGGTAGCTGTGGTGTGACTACCCTGTTGATCCAGTTGGTGTGGGCTGGTGTTGTTGATGACTGCCTTACAGACTCAGCTCCAAAAGTTTCAACCACGCCGTTTTCAGTCTTTCCTACTCTCTGAGGCAGCAGCACCAAAGTACCACACAGAGGGGTGAGGTGCCCCGCTTTATACACAAAAGTTCAGGCACAGAGTCCACACCATCAATGGGATTGCAGTCACCACTTACTGCTCCAGTCAGTCAGCCCTTTGGCTCACCCAACCTGGCCTCCAGTGGCAGCAAGAGAAGGTGTGCAGAGGCGGAGGAGGATTCCTGTTCTCTATGTCACAGCTCAAGCACAGATGCTGCTCTGCTAGTGGGAGGGCATTTCACTCTTCACTTACAAAACTAAGCACAGGGTTTGTTCCAATGACAGGGCCAGAGTCGCTTCTCATAGCCCCAGATAGGAAGTTCTTGGGCTTTTAAAAGTGTGTACTTATGATTCCTTTGTCCTAGGAGCTGGCCTTTTGAATGCTGTACTGCCCTTTTCCTGAGGAGTAGCACTACCTATGGGATAGAGCTGGGGACTTTGCAGCATCTTTGGGTCCAGCTAGTGCTGTGCTACTGCAGCCCTCTGAGTCTATGCAAGGGAATGTCAGCAGGAACTTCTGGGATGTAGAGATGTGGAGCCTGTTGTTCCCAGGGCAGGATGCAGTCCCACGATTGTTGCACTCCCAAAATGGAATGCTTCTGTAGCCATTCAGGTCTTGGAGGAGGTGAGTGACCCAGTGTGAGTTCTCTGTCTGATGCAATGCTTTCAGCGTCTCCATATCACTACTCACGTTAGTGTCAGCATTCATATACGTAGAAGAGCTCTTCTGCAGTCTGGATCACAGCAGCTCACAGTAGGCATATCGATCACTACATCTCTTTTACTCATCCTTTCCCTGCAATTCTGAGCTCCTCTGGGATCCTGGTTAATCTCAGCCAAGCTGGCCATTGGCTTTCTTCTTCTGTGCCTTGGGTATCTTTTATGAGTTCTTTATTAGACTTTAGTGTTTTATCCTAGATGTTCTATTTAAGCTATAATTGTCTGTTCATAATTTTGGCTTTTCTGTCTTGAGAGGGCTGGCATATGATGTCTCTAGTTAGCCATCTTGAACTGAAATCCTTAAGGACTGGTTTATAAGTAAACTTGAGTGAGCCATAGCTAAAAAGATACTTACAAAGAATGATGGAAGCATGCAGAAGGAGATATCTTTTTGAGAGAAAATCATATTTTTTTCCTTCAAAAAAAGGAAGATGGTTTTGAATTATCAACAAGGGCTTGCAATTTCAATTAAAAAGTGTTCTGAATTGGGGCTTAAAAGCTATTGGTTTATTTAATTTATGAATTGGCCATTAGGAGCATATAATAACAGAGAATTTAAAGTGATGGGAAAAGTAGTTTAAATTTTCTTTAGTAATATTAAACAATTTAAAAATACAATGTTATATTTTTATTTTAATAAGTACCAGTTTGGATTTCTGACTCCTTTGATTGCCTTACTGATAATGAGAGATTCAGTAATATTTGAGTCCCTGTGATCAGCAAGACAGTCAAAGGAGTCAAAGACCCAAACTGGTATTTGAGACAATATACCTGACCAATCAGATGGTGCTCCACACATTCAGTGAGAGGAACATCCTATCATGGAGCTCCTGGGAATGAAAATAGTTATGAACATTTTCTGTAGTGGCTAGTTTTGTCCTGTGTGAGGAGAATAAATGTATTTCTGTTTTCATTTCTCTAATCTGACTCAGTGTCAGAAACAAATTGAGATACCTAGTTTGGAGCAAACAAGAGTTCTACAGTATTCTTTCTTTATGAATGCTAACTATTTCAGGGAGATACCCATCTGTTCAGGTTTGTACTTCCCTTTGATATTAAAACACAATCATCAGTACTCTAAAATATCAATACTCTCATAGATCATATGTGTATTAAAGATATTTAGGATCCTACATTTTGAAACATTGAAACACAAGCTTCTTATTTCTTGTCCATGCTGTCACCCAGAGCCAGAGTCCACAGTATTGCAGATTGTAGACTTTAGGAACTTTATGTCTTTCATATTATTGCATACCTTAATGATATCTTCTAATATGGTAAAATGTGAAACCGCACATGGCCGTCCTAAAGAGTGCTAATGTTAAGATGACTTCTTATCAAATTACTGAACCCTACCACACTATTTAAAAAATGCATTCCTATGTTTTTAAAATAATTTCAGTTTCAATACCTAAGCAAAAAATGAAACTACCCCAAAAGGACTAGTAAAATAGTTAATAAAATAGCTTATCTTCTGTTAAGGGAGAACCAGAGACAAACTGGTAGTGTAAATGGAAAGGTATAGATAAGTGAGTTTTAAGAGAAGCAAGGCAAACATTAGTTTCCACATTCATCTTCAAAACCACAGTTTAATATTAGGGACCACACAAGGTAAGAAAAATATCACCACTTGTTGTTACTTACAACTCGAGTATCAGTTTTAGTCTCTTAGGAGTGTGCTTTGACACTTGAGTCATGAACAGTGAGATAATTGCTTCATATTATTTTATTTTCCTTAATAAAACCCTCAGTGATTGTGTCTAATACCTGTTTATAAGACTTTATTTTTTAGAGCAGTTTTAGGTTTACAGAAAACCTATAAAAAAGGTACAGAGATTTTGTATATACTCACTGCCCCAACACATGTATACCCTCTACCAGGATCAATATTGACCACAAGTACGGTACATTTGTTACAATTAATGAACCTACATTAACACATAATAATCACCCAAAGTCCACATGATAGATTAATATTGTCTCTTGGTGCTGTAAATTCTATGAATTTGAAAAAATATATAATAATATGTATCCATTATTTTAGTATCATATCAACTATTTTCACTGCCCTAAAAATCCTCTGTGTTCTGCCTATTCATGCCCCCATCTCTTACCCCAGCCTCTGGAAATCACTGATCGTTTTACTGTCCCATAGTTTTGCCTTTTCCATGATATCATATGGTTGGAATCATATAATATGTAGCTTTGTCAGATTGGCTTCTTTCACCAAGTAATATACACGTTTCTTCTTATATACTTCTCCAATATGTTAGCTTGATAACTTATTTCTTTTTATTGCTGTATAATATTCCCTTGTCTGTAGGTGCCACAATTTATTTAACCATTCACCTACTGAGGGACATCTTAGTTGCTTCCAAGTTTTGACAATTATGAATAAAGCTGCTATAAATATCTTGGATCATATGATAAGAGTTTGTAAGAAGCTATCAAACTGTCTTCCAAAGTAGTTGTATAAGAATTAGAAAAAACTGTTCTAAAATTTATATGGAATGAAGAAAGAGCCTGAATAGCCAAAGTAATCCTCAGCAAAAAGAACAAGGCCAGAATCATTACATTATTTGATTTCAAACTATACTATAAGGCTACAGTAACCAAAACACCATGGTACTGGTACCAAAACAGACACATAGACCAATGGAACAAAATAGAAAACCCAGCTCTGCCACCTTGGCACAGCCACCTGCTGACTGCTGGTTGGACACAGAGCCCAGGGTAGTCAGCTGAGCCCACAGCCCTGGGTCCCTGGTTGGGTGGCTGCTGACCCCAGGTCCCTGGTTGGGTGACTGCTGGCCCCAGAGAAGTCCGAAGGCCTCAACCTTCTTCATTACCTAAGTTTTCAACAGCTGTGCAAAAGAATGCATATACTGAAGGGTTCCAAGATGGCCAAATAGGAACAGCTCCAGTCTACAGCTCCCAGTGTGAGTGATGCAGAAGATGAGTGATTTCTGCATTTCCAACTGAGGTACCAGGTTCATCTCACTGGGGCTTGTCAAACAGGGGGTGCAGGACAGTGGGTGCAGCCCACAGACCATGAGCAGAAGCAGGGTGAGGCACTGCCTCACCCGGGAAGTGGAAGGGGTCGGGGAATTCCCTTTCCTAGCCAAGGGAAGGCATGACAGAGGGCACCTGGAAAATCAGGTCACTCCTACCCTAATACTGCGCTTTTCCAATGGTCTTAGCAAATGTCACACCAGGAGATTATATCCCACGCCTGGCTTGGAGGGTCCCATGCCCACAGAGTCTTGGTCACTGCTAGCACAGCAGTCTGAGATTGAACTGCAAGGTGGCTGCAAGGTGGGGGGAGGGGGGCCCACCATTGCTGAGACTTGAGTAGGTAAACAAAGAGGCTGGGAAGCTCAAACTGGATGGAGTTTGAGCCCCACCACAGCTCAAGGAGGCCTGCCTGCCTCTGTAGACTCCACCTCTGGGGGCAGGGCGTAGCTGAACAAAAGGCAGCAGAAAATTCTGCAGACTTAAATGTCCCTGTCTGACAGCTTTGAAGAGACTAGTGGTTCTCCCAGCACAGAGTTTGAGATCTCAGAACAGACAGATTGCCTCCTCAAGTTGGTCCCTGACCCCTGAGTAGCCTAACTGGGAGGCACCCCCCAGTAGGGTCAGACTGACACCTCTGACAGCCAGGCACCCCTCTGATACGAAGCTTCCAGAGGAATGATAAGGCAGCAACATTTGCCATTCTGCAATATTTGCGATTCTGCAGCCTCCACTGGTGATACCCAGGCAAACAGGATCTGGAGTGGACCCCCAGCAAACTCCACAGACCTGCAGCTGAGGGTTGTGACTGTTAGAAGGAAAACGAACAAACAGAAAGGACATCCACACCAAAACCCCATCTGTACATCACCATCATCAAAGACCAAACTTAGATAAAACCACAAAGATGGGGGGAAACCAGAACAGAAAAGCTGAAAATTCTAAAAATCAGAGTGCCTCTTATCTTCCAAAGGAATGCAGCTCCTCATCAGCAACAGAAAAAACCTGGACAGAGAATGACTTTGACGAGTTGAGAGAAGAAGGCTTCAGAAGATCAGTAATAACAAACTTCTCTGAGCTAAAGGAGGATGTTCGAACCCATGGCAAAGAAGCTAAAAACCTTGAAAAAAGACTGGACGAATGGCTAACTAGAATAAACAGTGTAGAGAAGACCTTAAATGACCTGATGGAGCTGAAAACCATGGCATGAGAACTACGTGATGCATGCACAAGCTTCAGTAGCCAATTCGATCAACTGGAAGAAAGGGTATCAGTGACTGAAGATCAAATGAATGAAATGAAGCAAGAAGAGAAGTTTAGAGAAAAAAGAGTAAAAAGAAATGAACAAAGCCTCCAAGAAATATGGGGCTATGTGAAAAGACCAAATCTACGTCTGATTGGTGTACCTGAAAGTGACAGGGAGAATGGAACCAAGCTGGAAAACACTCTTCAGGATATTATCCAGGAGAACTTCCTCAACCTAGCAAGGCAGGCCAACATTCAGATTCAGGAAATACAGAGAATGCCACAAAGATACTCCTCCAGAAGAGCAGCTCCAAGACGCATAGTTGTCAGATTCACTAAAGTTGAAATAAAGGAAAAAAAATGTTAAGGGCAGCCAGAAAGAAAGGTTGGTTTACCCACAAAGGGAAGCCCATCAGACTAACAGTGAATCTCTTGGCAGAAACTCTACAAGCCAGAAGAGAGTGGGGGCGAATATTCAACATTCTTAAAGAAAAGAATTTTCAACCCAGAATTTCACATCCAGCCAAACCAAGCTTCATCAGTGAAGGAGAAAAAAAATACTTTACAGACAAGCAAATGCTGAGAGATTTTGTCACCACCAGGCCTGCCTTATAAGAGCTCCTGAAGGAAGTACTAAACATGGAAAGGAACAACTGGTACCACCCACTGCAAAAACATGCCAAATTGTAAAGATCATCAATGCTAGGAAGAAACTGCATGAATTAATGGGAAAAATAACCAACCAAGTCATAATGACAGGATCAAATTCACACATAACAATATTAACCTTAAATGTAAATGGACTAAATGCTCCAATTAAAAGACACAGACTGGCAAATTGGATAAAGAGTCAAGACCCATCAGTGTGCTGTATTCAGGAGACCCATCTCACATGCAGAGACACACATAGGCTTAACATAAAGGGATGGAGGAAGATCTACCAAGCTAATGGAAAACAAAACAAAAGCAGGGGTTGCAATCCTTGTCTCTGATAAAACAGATTTTAAACCAACAAAGATCAAAAGAGACAAAGGAGGCCATTACATAATGGTAAAGGGATCAATTCAACAAGAAGAGCTGACAATCCTAAATATATATGCACCTAATACAGGGGCACCCAGATTCATAAAGCAAGTCCTTAGAAACCTACAAAGAGACTTAGACTCCCACACAATAATAATGGGGACTTTAACACCCCACTGCCAACATTAGACAGATCCATGAGACAGAAAGTTAGAAGGATATCCAGGAATTGAACTCAGCTCTGCATCAGGCAGACCTAATAGACATTTACAGAACTCTCCACCCCAAATCAACAGAATATACATTCTTCTCAGCACCACGTTTCACTTATTCCACAATTGAACACATAGTTGGAAATAAAGCACTCCTCAGCAAATGTAAAAGAATGGAAATTATAACAACCTGTCTCTCAGACCACAGTGCAATCAAATTAGAACTCAGGATTAAGAAACTCACTCAAAACCATTCAACTACATGGAAACCGAACAACCTGCTCCTGAATAACTACTGGGTACATAACGAAATGAAGGCAGAAATAGAGATGTTGTTTGAAACCAATGAGAACAAAGACACAACATATCAGAATCTCTGAGACACATTTAAAGCAGTGTGTAGAGGGAAATTTATAGCAGTAAATGCCCATAGGAGAAAGCAGAAAAGATCTAAAATTGACACCCAGACATCACAATTAAAAGAACTAGAGAAGCAAGAGCAAACACATTCAAAAGCTAGCAGAAGGCAAGAAATAACTAAGGTCAGAGCAGAACTGAAGGAGATAGAGACACAAAAAACCCTTCAAAAAATCAATGAATCCAGGAGCTGGTTTTTTGAAAGGATCCACAAAATTGATAGACCGCTAGCAAGACTAATAAAGGAGAAAAAAGAGAAGAATCAAATAGATGCAATAAAAAATGATAAAGGGGATATCACCACTGATCCCACAGAGATACAAACTGCCATCAGAGAATACTATAAACAACTCTACGCAAATAATCTAGAAAATCTAGAAGAAATGGATAAATTCCTCAACACACTCTCCCAAGACTAAAACAGGAAGAAGTGGAATCCCTGAATAGACCAATAACAGGCTCTGAAATTGAGGCAATAATTAAGAGCCTACCAACCAAAAAAAGTCCAAGACCAGATGGATTCACAGCCGAATTCTACCAGAGGTACAAAGAGGAGCTGGTACCATTCCTTCTGAAACTATTCCAATCAATAGAAAAAGAGGGAATCATCCCTAACTCATTTTATGAGGCCAGCATCATCCTGATACCAAAGCCTGACAGAGACACAGCAAAAAAAGAGAATTTTAGACCAATATCCTTGATGAACGTCAATGCAAATATCCTCAGTAAAATACTGGCAAACTGAATCCAGCAGCACATCAAAAAGCTTATCCACAATGATCAAGTGGGCTTCATCCCTGGGATGCAAGGCTGGTTCAACCTATGCAAATCAATAAACGTAATCTAGCATATAAACAGAACCAAAGACAGAAACCACATGATTATCTCAATAGATGCAGAAAAGGCCTATGACAAAATGCAATAGCCCTTCATGATAAAAACTCTCAATAAATTAGATATTGATGGGATGTATCTCAAAATAATAAGAGCTATCTGTGACAAACCCACAGCCAATATCATACTGAATGGGCAAAAACTGGAAGCATTCCCTTTGAAAACTGGCACAAGACAGGGATGCCCTCTCTCACCACTCCTATTCAACATAGTGTTGGAAGTTCTGGCCAGGGCAATTAGGCAGGAGAAGGAAAGAAAGGGTATTCAATTCGGAAAAGAGGAAGTCAAATTGTCCCTGTTTGCAGATGACATGATTGTATATTTAGAAAACCCCATCGTCACAGCCCAAAATCTTCTTAAGCTGATAGGCAACTTCAAAGTCTCAAGATACAAAATCACTGTGCAAAAATCACAAGCATTCCTATACACCAATAACAGACAAACAGAGAGCCAAATCATGAGTGAACTCCTAATCACAATTGCTTCAAAGACAATAAAATATCTAGGAATCCAACTTACAAGGGATGTGAAGGACCTCTTCAAGGAGAACTACAAACCACTGCTCAACGAAATAAAAGAGGACACAAACAAATGGAAGAACATTCCATGCTCATGGATAGGAAGAATCAATATTGTGAAAATGGCCAGACCGCCCAAGGTAATTTATAGATTCAATGCCATCCCCATCAAGCTACCAATGACTTTCTTCACAGAATTGGAAAAAACTACTTTAAAGTTCATATGGAACCAAAAAAGAGCCCACATTGCCAAGACAATCCTAAGCCAAAAGAACAAAGCTGGAGACATCACGCTACCTGACTTAAAACTATACTACAATGCTATAGTAACCAAAACAGCATGGTACCAGTACCACAACAGAGATACAGACCAATGTAACCGAACAGAACCCTCAGAAATAATACCACACATCTACAACCATCTGATCTTTGACAATCCTGAGAAAAACAAGAAATGGGGAAATGATTCCCTATTTAATAGATGATGCTGGGAAAACTGGCTAGCCATATGTAGAAAGCTGAAACTGGTTCCCTTCCTTACACCTTATACAAAAATTAATTCAAGATGGATTAAAAACTTAAACGTTAGACCTAAAACCATAAAACCCTAGAAGAAAACCTAGACAATACCATTCAGGACATAGGCATGGGCAAGGACTTCGTGTCTAAAACACCAAAAGCAATGGCAACAAAAGCCAAAATTGACAAATGGGATCTAATTAAAACAAAAAGCTTCTGCACAGCAAAAGAAACTACCATCAGATTGAACAGGCAACCTACAGAATGGGAGAAAATTTTTGCAATCTACCCATCTGACAAAGGGCTAATATCCGGAATCTACAAAGAACTTAAACAAATTTACAAGAAAAAATCAAACAACCCCATCAAAAAGTGCACAAAGGATATGAACAGACACTTCTCAAAAGAAGACATTTATGCAGCCAAAAGACACATGAAAAAATGCTCGTCATCACTGGCCATCAGAGAAATGCAAATCAAAACTACAATGAGATACCATCTCACACCAGTTAGAATGGTAATCATTAAAAAGTAAGGAAACAACAGGTGCTGGAGAGGATGTGGAGAAATAGGAACACTTTTACACTGTTGGTGGGACTGTAAACTAGTTCAACCATTGTGGAAGTCAGTATGGTGATTCCTTAAGGATCTAGAACTAGAAATACCATTTGACCCAGCCATCCCATTACTGGGTATATACCCAAAGGATTATAAATCATGCTGCTATAAAGACACATGCACACATATGTTTATTTTGGCACTATTCACAATAGCAAAGACTTGGAACCAACCCAAATGTCCATCAATGATAGACTGGATTAAGAAAATGTGGCACATATACACCATGGAATAGTATGCAGCCATAAAAAAGGATGAGTTCATGTCTTTTATAGGGACATGGATGATACTGGAAACCATCATTCTGAGCAAACTATTGCAAGGACAGAAAACCAAACACCTACCTAATGTGAATGATGAGTTAATGGGTGCAGCACACCAACATGGCACATGTATACATATGTAACAAATCTGCATGTTGTGCACATGTACCCTAGATCTTAAAGTATAATAAAGAAAATAGAAAACCCAGAAATAATACTGCACATCTACACCCATATGATCTTCAACAAAGTCAACAAGTTTAAGCAATGAAGAAAGAATTCCCTATGCAATAAATGATGCTGTTATAGCTTGTTAGCCATATGCAAGAGAATGAAAGTAGACCCCCTACTCCTAATCGGAAACAAAATTAACTCAAAATGGATTAAAGATTTAAATGTAAGACCTCAAACTATAAGAATCCTAGAAGAAAACCTAGGAAACAGCATTCTGGACATAGGCCATGGGAAATAATTTATGACTAAGTCCTCAAAAGTAATTAAAACAAAAACAGAAACTAAGTAGGACCTAATTAAATTTAAAGACTTCTACACAGAAAAAAACCAAAACAACAACAACAAAAAACTACCAACAGAATCTTTGCATCTGAAAATGATCTATCAGAATCTATAAGGAACTTAAAACAATTCAACAGTAAATAAACAAACAACAACAATAAAAACAACCCCATTAAAAAGGCGGCAAAAGACATGAACAGACACTTCTTAAAAGAAAACATACGAGTGGCCAAAAGCATATGAAAAAATTCTCAACGTCATTAATCATCAGAGAAATGCAAACCAAAACCACAATGAGATACCATCTCACACCAGTCAGAATAGCTGTTATTAAAATGTCAAAAACCAACAGATGCTGGCAAGACCATGGAGAAAAGAGAATGCTTACACTGTTGGTGAGAATTTAAATTAGTTCAGCCACTGTAGAAAGCAGTTTGGATATTTCTCAAAGAACTGAAAACAGAACTACCATTTGACCCAGCAATCCCATTGGGTAGATATCTGAAAGAAAATAAATTATTCTACTAAAAGTATACCTGAACTTTTATGTTCATCACAGTGCTATTCATGATAGCGAAGACATGGAATCAACCTGATGGTGCCCCTCAATTGTGGGTTGGATAAAGATAATGTGGTACATATATAGCTTGGAATACTATGCAGCCATAAAAAATGATGAAATCATGTTTCTTTGCAGCAACATGGATGCAGCTGGAAACCATTATCCTGGGCAAATTAATGCAGAAAGAGAAAAACCAATAATGCATGCTTTTATTTATAACTGGAAGGTAGATATTGGGTAATTACAGACATGAATATATCAAAAATAGACACTAGGGACTACTAGAAGGGGGAGGGGAAGGAGCCAGTCAAGGGTTGAAAAACTGCTGAGTGCTATGTTCACTTTCTGGGTGATGGGGTCATTCATATTTCTAACATCAGCATCACACAATATACTCACAAAACAAACCTTTACATGCATGTACCTCCTGAATCTAAAAGCTGAAATTATTTTAAAAGCCAATTAAAAAAATAAAATAACAAATTTAATTTTTATTACATTGAAACAGCAGCAGCAGCAGCAGCAAAAACAACAACAACAATAAATAACAAAGTAACTGTATCATTTTGCATTCCTACCAGCAATGAATGAGAATCCCTGTTGCTCCACATCCTCACCAGCAATTGGTGTTGTCAATGTTTTGGATTTCAGCCATTTTAATTTGTATGTGGTAGTACCTCAATGTTGTTTTTATTTGTATGTCCCTGATGATACATGAGGTAAAGCATCTTTTCATATGCATATTTGTCATCTGTATATCTTCTTTGGTCAGGTGTCTGTTAATGTCTTTGGTCCATTTTTTAATCAGGTTTTTTTCTCTTATTATTGAGTTTTAAGAGTTTTCTATATATTTTGAATAACAGTTGTATTAGTCTGCTCTTATGCTTCTGATAAGGAGATACCCAAGGCTGGGTAATTTATGAGGAAACAAAGGTTTTATGGACTCACAGTTCCACGTAGTTGGGGAGGTCTCACAGTCATGGCGGAAGGTGAAATGTGTGTCTCACATGACAGCAGACAAGAGAAGAGCGCTTGTGCAGGAAAACTCCCCTTTATAAAACCATTAGCTTTCGTGAGACTTATTCACTGTCATAAGAACAGCATGGGAAAGACCACACCAATGATTCAATTACCTTTCACCAGGTCCCTCCCACAATAGGTGAGAATTTTGGAAGCTATAGTTCATTTGGGTGGTTTGATAGCCAAACCATATCAACAGACCTTTATCAGATGCATCTTTACCAAATATTTTCTCTCAATCTGTGGCTTGTCTTTTCATTTTCTTGGCATTGTCACTCATACAGAAGAAGTTTTTACTTTTAATGAAATCAAGCTTATCTATTATTTCTTTTATAGGTCTTGCCTTTGGTATTGTGTCTAAAAAGTCATCACTATGCCAAGGTTGTCTAGTTTTGTGTTTTATATTTTCAGTTTATGATCCATTTTGAGTTAACTTTTGTCAAGAGTATAAGGTCTGTATGTACGCTCATTTTTTTTTTTATACTTTAAGTTTTAGGGTACATGTGCACAATGTACAGGTTAGTTACATATGTATACATGTGCCATGCTGGTGTGCTGCACCCATTAACTCGTCATTTAGCATTAGGTATATCTCCTAATGCTATCGCTCCCCCCTCCCCCCACCCCACAACAGTCCACAGAGTGTGATGTTCCCCTTCCTGTGTCCATGTGTTCTCATTGTTCAATTCCCATCTATGAGTGAGAACATGTGGTGTTTGGTTTTTTGTCCTTGCGATAGTTTACTGAGAATGATCATTTCCAATTTCATCCATGTCCCTACAAAGGGTATGAACCTCATCATTTTTTATGGCTGCATACTATTCCATGGTGTATATGTGCCACATTTTCTTAATCCAGTCTATCATTGTTGGACATTTGGGTTGGTTCTAAGTCTTTGCTATTGTGAATAGTGCCGCAATAAACATACGTGTGCATGTGTCTTTATAGCAGCATGATTTATAGTCCTTTGGGTATATACCCAGTAATGGGATGGCTGGGTCAAATGGTATTTCTAGTTCTAGATCCCTGAGGAATCACCACACTGACTTCCACAATGGTTGAACTAGTTTACAGTCCCACCAACAGTGTAAAAGTGTTCCTATTTCTCCACATCCTCTCCAGCACCTGTTGTTTCCTGACTTTTTAATGATTGCCATTCTAACTGGTGTGAGATGGTATCTCGTTGTGGTTTTGATTTGCATTTCTCTGATGGCCAGTGATGACGAGCATTTTTTCATGTGTCTTTTGGCTGCATAAATGTCTTCTTTTGAGAAGTGTCTGTTCATATCCTTTGACCACTTTTGGATGGGGTTGTTTGTTTTTTTTCTTGTAAATTTGTTTAAGTTCATTGTAGATTCTGGATATTAGCCCTTTGTCAGATGAGTAGGTTGTCAAAAATTTCTCCCATTTTGTAGGGTGCCTGTTCACTCTGATGGTAGTTTCTTTTGCTGTGCAGAAGCTCTTTAGTTTAATTAGATCCCATTTGTCAATTTTGGCTTTTGTTGCCATTGCTTTTGGTGTTTTAGTTATGAAGTCCTTGCCCATGCCTATGTCCTGAATGGTAATGCCTAGGTTTTCTTCTAGGGTTTTTATGGTTTTAGGTTTAACGTTTAAGTCTTTAATCCATCTTGAATTAATTTTTGTATAAGGTGTAAGGAAGGGAACCAGTTTCAGCTTTCTACATATGGCTAGCCAGTTTTCCCAGCACCATTTATTAAATAGGGAAACCTTTCCCCATTTCTTGTTTTTCTCAGGTTTGTCAAAGATCAGATGGTTGTAGATATGCCGCATTATTTCTGAGGGCTCTGTTCTGTTCCATTGATCTATATCTCTGTTTTGGTACCAGTACCATGCTGTTTTGGTTACTGTAGCCTTGTAGTATAGTTTTAAGTCAGGTAGTGTGATGCCGCCAGCTTTGTTCTTTTGGCTTAGGATTGACTTGGCGATGTGGGCTCTTTTTTGATTCCATATGAACTTTAAAGTAGTTTTTTCCAATTCTGTGAAGAAAGTCATTGGTAGCTTGATGGGGATGGCATTGAATCTATAAATTACCTTGGGCGGTCTGGCCATTTTCACAATATTGATTCTTCCTATCCATGAGCATGGAATGTTCTTCCATTTGTTTGTGTCCTCTTTTATTTCGTTGAGCAGTGGTTTGTAGTTCTCCTTGAAGAGGTCCTTCACATCCCTTGTAAGTTGGATTCCTAGATATTTTATTGTCTTTGAAGCAATTGTGATTAGGAGTTCACTCATGATTTGGCTCTCTGTTTGTCTGTTATTGGTGTATAGGAATGCTTGTGATTTTTGCACAGTGATTTTGTATCTTGAGACTTTGCTGAAGTTGCCTATCAGCTTAAGAAGATTTTGGGCTGTGACGATGGGGTTTTCTAAATATACAATCATGTCATCTGCAAACAGGGACAATATGACTTCCTCTTTTCCGAATTGAATACCCTTTCTTTCCTTCTCCTGCCTAATTGCCCTGGCCAGAACTTCCAACACTATGTTGAATAGGAGTGGTGAGAGAGGGCATCCCTGTCTTGTGCCAGTTTTCAAAGGGAATGCTTCCAGTTTTTGCCCATTCAGTATGATATTGGCTGTGGGTTTGTCATAGATAGCTCTTGTTATTTTGAGATACGTCCCATCAATACCTAATTTATTGAGAGTTTTTATCATGAAGGGCTATTGCATTTTGTCAAAGGCCTTTTCTGCATCTATTGAGATAATCATGTGGTTTTTGTCTTTGGTTCTGTTTATATGCTGCATTACATTTATTGATTTGTGTATATTGAACCAGCCTTGCATCCCAGGGATGAAGCCCACTTGATCATTGTGGATAAGCTTTTTGATGTGCTGCTGGATTCAGTTGGCCAGTATTTTATTGAGGATTTTTGCATCATTGTTCATCAAGGATGTTGGTCTAAAATTCTCCTTTTTGGTTGTGTCTCAGCCCAGCTTTGGTATCAGGATGATGCTGGCCTCATAAGATGAGTTAGGGAGGATTCCCTCTTTTTCTATTGAGTGGAATAGTTTCAGAAGGAATGGTACCAGCTCCTCTTTGTACCTCTGGTAGAATTCGGCTGTGAATCCATCTGGTCCTGGACTCTTTTTGGTTGGTAAGCTATTGATTATTGCCATAATTTCAGAGCCTGTTATTGGTCTATTCAGAGATTGAACTTCTTCCTGTTTTAGTCTTGGAAGAGTGTATGTGTCGAGGAATTTATCCATTTCTTCTAGATTTTCTAGTTTATTTGCGTAGAGGTGTTTGTAGTATTCTCTGATGGTAGTTTGTATTTCTGTGGGATCAGTGGTGATATCCCCTTTATCATTTTTTATTGCATCTATTTGATTCTTCTCTCTTTTTTTCTTTAGTAGTCTTGCTAGCGGTCTATCAATTTTGTGGATCCTTTCAAAAAACCAGCTCCTGGATTCATTAATTTTTTGAAGGGTTTTTGTGTCTCTATTTCCTTCAGTTCTGCTCTGATTTTAGTTATTTCTTGCCTTCTGCTCGCTTTTGAATGTGTTTGCTCTTGCTTCTCTAGTTCTTTTAATTGTGATGTTAGGGTGTCAATTTTGGATCTTTCCTGCTTTCTCTTGTGGGCATTTAGTGCTATAAATTTCCCTCTACACACTGCTTTGAATGTGTCCCAGAGATTCTGGTATGTTGTGTCTTTGTTCTCGTTGGTTTCAAAGAACATCTTTATTTCTGCCTTCATTTCGTTATGTACCCAGTAGTCATTCAGGAGCAGGTTGTTCAGTTTCCATGTAGTTGAGTGGTTTTGAGTGAGTTTCTTAATCCTGAGTTCTAGTTTGATTGCACTGTGGTCTGAGAGACAGTTTGTTATAATGTCTGTTCTTTTACATTTGCTGAGGAGAGGTTTACTTCCAACTATGTGGTCAATTTTGGAATAGGTGTGGTGTGGTGCTGAAAAAAATGTATATTCTGTTGATTTGTGGTGAAGAGTTCTGTAGATGTCTATTAGGTCCGCTTGGTGCAGAGCTGAGTTCAATTCCTGGGTATCCTTGTTAACTTTCTGTCTCGTTGATCTGTCTAATGTTGACAGTGGGGTGTTAAAGTCTCCCATTATTATTGTGTGGGAGTCTAAGTCTCTTTGTAGGTCACTCAGGACTTGCTTTATGAATCTGGGTGCTCCTGTATTGGGTGCATATATATTTAGGATAGTTAGCTCTTGTTGTTGAATTGATCCCTTTACCATTATGTAATGGCCTTCTTTGTCTCTTTTGATCTTTGTTGGTTTAAAGTCTGTTTTGTCAGAGACTAGGATTGCAACCCCTGCCTTTTTTTGTTTTCCATTTGCTTGGTAGATCTTCCTCCATCCTTTTATTTTGAGCCTATGTGTGTCTCTGCATGTGAGATGGGTTTCCTGAATACAGCACACTGATGGGTCTTGACTCTTTATCCAATTTGCCAGTCTGTGTCTTTTAATTGGAGCATTTAGTCCATTTACATTTAAAGTTAATATTGTTATGTGTGAATTTGATCCTTTCATTATGATGTTAGCTAGGTATTTTGCTCGTTAGTTGATGCAGTTTCTTCCTAATCTCGATGGTCTTTACATTTTGGCATGATTTTGCAGCGGCTGGTACTAGTTGTGCCTTTCCATGTTTAGTGCTTCCTTCAGGAGCTCTATTAGGGCAGGCCTGGTGGTGACAAAATCTCTCAGCATTTGCTTGTATGTAAAGTATTTTATTTCTCCTTCACTTATGAAGCTTAGTTTGGCTAGATATGAAATTCTGGGTTGAAAATTCTTTTCTTTAAGAATGTTGAATATTGGCCCCCACTCCCTTCTGGCTTGTAGAGTTTCTGCCGAGAGATCCGCTGTTAGTGTGATGGGCTTCCCTTTGTGGGTAACCCGACCTTTCTCTCTGGCTGCCCTTAACATTTTTTCCTTCTTTTCAGCTTTGGTGAATCTGACAATTATGTGTCTTGGAGTTGCTCTTCTCGAGGAGTATCTTTGTGGTGTTCTCTGTATTTCCTGAATCTGAATGTTGGCCTGCCTTGCTAGATTTGGGAAGTTCTCCTGGATAGTATCCTGCAGAGTGTTTTCCAACTTGGTTCCATTCTCCCCGTCACTTTCAGGTACACCAATCAGACACAGATTTGGTCTTTTCACATAGTCCCATATTTCTTGGAGGCTTTGTTCGTTTCTTTTTATTCTTTTTTCTCAAAACTTCCCGTCTCGCTTCATTTCATTGATTCCATCTTCCATCACTGATACCCTTTCTTCCAGTTGATTGCATCAGTTCCAGAGGCTTCTGCATTCTTCACGTAGTTCTCGAGCCTTGGTTTTCAGCTCCATCAGCTCCTTTAAGCACTTCTCTTTATTGGTTATTCTAGTTATACATTCGTCTAAATTTTTTTCAAAGTTTTCAACTTCTTTGCCTTTGGTTTGAATTTCCTCCTGTAGCTCGGAGTAGTTTGATCGTCTGAAGCCTTCTTCTCTCAACTTGTCAAAGTCATTCTCTGTCCAGCTTTGTTCTGTTGCTGGTGAGGAACTGCGTTCCTTTGGAGGAGAAGAGGCGCTCTGCTTTTTAGAGTTTCCAGTTTTTCTGCTCCGTTTATTCCCCATCTTTGTGGTTTTATCTACTTTTGGTCTTTGATGATGGTGATGTACAGATGGGTTTTTGGTGTGGATGTCCTTTCTGTTTGTTAGTTTTCCTTCTAACAGACAGGACCCTCAGCTGCAGGTCTGTTGGAGTTTGCTAGAGGTCCACTCCAGACCCTGTTTGCCTGGGTACCAGCAGCGGTGTCTGCAGAACCACGGATTTTCATGATCCACGAATACTGCTGTCTCATCATTCCTCTGGAAGTTTTGTCTCAGAGGAGTACCCAGCCGTGTGAGGTGTCAGTCTGCCCCTTCTAGGGGGTGCCTCCCAGTTAGGCTGCTAGGGTGTCAGGGGTCAGGGACCCACTTGAGGAGGCAGTCTGCCCATTCTCAGATCTCCAGCTGCCTGCTGGGAGAACCACTGCTCTCCTCAAAGCTGTCAGACAGGGACATTTAAGTCTGCAGAGGTTACTGCTGTCTTTTTGTTTGTCTGTGCCCTGCCCCCAGAGGTGGAACCTACAGAGGCAGGCAGGCCTCCTTGAGCTGTGGTGGGCTCCACCCAGTTTGAGCTTCCAGGCTGCTTTGTTTACCTAAGGGAGCCTGGGCAATGGCAGGCGCCCCTCCCCCAGCCTCGCTGCCACCTTGCAGTTTGATCTCAAACTGCTGTGCTAGCAATCAGCAAGACTCCATGGGCGTAGGACCCTCTGAGCCAGGTGCGGGATATAATCTCCTGGTGCGCCGTTTCCTAAGCCCATCGGAAAAGCACAGTATTCGGGTGGGAGTGGCCCGATTTTCCAGGTGCCATCTGTCACCCCTTTCTTTGACCAGGAAAGGGAACTCCCTGACCCCTTGTGCTTCCCAAGTGAGGCAATGCTTCAGCTGGCACACGGTGTGCTGCACCCACTGTCCTGCGCCCACTGTCTGGCACTCCCTAGTGAGATGAACCCAGTACCTCAGATGGAAATGCAGAAATCACCCATCTTCTGTGTCGCTCACACTGGGAGCTGTAGACTGGAGCTGTTCCTATTTGGCCATCTTTGTACGTTCATTTTTATCTCCCTTTGGCATGTGGATATCTAACTGTTTTAACACTATTTGTTGAAAGAATTATGTTTGTTTTGTTGTATTGTCTTTGCTCCTTTGTCAAAGATCAGTTGCCTATATTTATGTGGATCTTTTTCTGAACTCTCAATTATGTTTCATTTTTCTATCTACCATCTTTTCTTATTTTTATTTTTGAGCTGACTTTTTCAAGCAAAAGGCCACAGTTTTATTTTCTTTTGTCTTATAGCTTCAAATGTGATTTGCATGGAGAATAAAGAGTAGTGTCTCAAATGTTCTTTACATGGCAATATATTGCTACCCATGGCACAGGTAATAAGTCACACTCAAGAAGAAATCCTTTTCCTGTAACTCTGCATTAAAAATGGGCAAGTTTCAGGTAGACAGGAGAAATAAATTCTGGCACTCTTTATATGGCCTGGATGTTCTGTCCCCTCCAAATTTTATGTTGAGATGTGAGAACCAGTATTGGAGGCAGGCCTAGTGGGAGGTTTTATGAATGGTTTGGTGCTGTCCTCTGAGTAATGAGTACTCTATGAGTTCATATAAAATCTGGTTGCTTAAAAGAGCACTCCATTCTCGTGGATAGGAAGAATCAATATCATGAAAATGGCCAAACTGCCCAAAGTAATTTATAGATTCAACGCTATCCCCATCAAGCTACCACTGACTTTCTTCACAGAATTAGAAAGAAAATACTTTAAATTTCGTATGGAACCAAAAAGAGCCTGTATAGCCAAGACAATCCTAAGCAAAAATAACAAAGCTGGAGGCATCATGTTACCTGACTTCAAACTATACTACAAGGCTACGGTAACCAAAACAGCAAGGTACTGGTACCAAAATAAAGATATAGACCAATGGAACAGAACAGAGGCCTTAGAAATAACGCCACACATCTACAACCATCTGATCTTTGACAAACCTGACACAAACAAGCAATGGGGAAAGGATTCTTTGTTTAATAAATGATATTGGAAAAATGGGCTAGCCATAAGCAAAAAATGGAAACTGGACCCTTTCCTTACACTTTATACAAAAATTAACTCGAGATGGATTAAAGACTTAAATGTAAGACTTAAAACCATAAAAACCCTAGAAGAAAACCTAGGTAATACCATTCAGGACATAGGCATGGGCAAAGACTTCATGACTAAAACACCAAAAGCAATTGCAACAGAAGCCAAAATTGACAAATGGGATCTAAACTAAAGAGCTTCTGCAAAGCAAAAGAAACTGTCATCAGAGTGAATAGGCAACCTACAGAATGGGAGAAAACTTTTGCAATCTATCCATCTCACAAAGGGCTAATATCCAAAATCTACAAGGAACTTAAACAAATTTCCAAGAAAAAAAAAAACATCAAAAAGTGGGCAAAGGATATGAACAGACACTTCTCAAAAGAAGACATTTATGTGGCCAAGAAACATATGAAAAAAGCTCATCATCACTGGTCATTAGAAAAATGCAAATCAAAACCACAATGAGATACAATCTCACGCCAGTTAGAATGGCGATCGTTAAAACATCAGGAAAAAGGCCAGGTGCAGTGGCTATGCCTGTAATCCCAGCACTTTGGGAGGCTGAGGTGGTATCATGAGGTCATGAGATCGAGACCATCCTGGCCAACATGGTGAAACCCCATCTTTATTAAAAATACAAAAATTAGCTTGGCATGGTGGCATGCACCTGTAGTCTCAGCTACTTGGGAGGCTGAGGTAGGAGAATCTCTTGAAGCCGGGAGGCAGAGGTTGCAGTGAGTTGAGATTGCACCACTGCACTCCAGCCTGGCAAGACTCTGTCTCAAAAAAAAAAAAGTCAGGAAGCAATAGATGCTGGAGAGGGTGTGGAGAAATAAGAACACTTTTACACTGTTGGTGGGAGTGTAAATTAGTTCAACCATTGTGGAAGACAGTGTGGCAGTTCCTCAAGGATCTAGAATCAGAAATACCATTTGACCCAGCAATCCCATTACTGGGTATATACCCAAGTATTATAAATTATTCTACTATAAAGACACCTGCACACATATGTTTATTCCAGCAGTATTCACAATAGTAAAGACCTGGAGCCAACCCAAATGCCCATCAATGATAGACTAGATCAAGAAAATGTGGCACATATACACCATGGAATACTATGCAGCCATAGAAAAAGATAAGTTCATGCCCTTTGCAGGCACATGGATGAAGCTGGAAACCATCATTCTCAGCAAACTAACACAGGAACAGAAAACCAAACACCGCATGTTCTCACTTATAAGTGGGAGTTGAACAATGAGAACATATGGGCACAGGGAGGGGAAAATTACACACTAGGGACTGTTGGGTGGTCGGGGGCTAGGGGAGGGATAGCATTAGGAGAAATACCTAATGTAGATGACGGTTTGATGAGTGCACCAAACCATCATGGCACGTGTATGCCTATGTAACAAACCTGCATGTTCTGCACATGTATCCCAGAACTTGAAGTGGAAAAAAAAAAAAAAAAAAAAGAAGCCTGGCTCAGGGAGTGGCTCCAGTTGCCTAATGAGTAAGGCACTGTCATCCTAAAAGAGCCTCACACCTTCTTTCTCTCTCTTGTTCCTTCTCTTGCCATGTGACACACTGTTTGTCCTTCACCTTCTACAATGATTCCAAGCTTCTTAAGGCCCTCACCGGAAGTAGATGCCAGCACTGTGCTTCATCTACAGCATGCAGAACCGTGAGCCAAACAAACCTCTTTCTTTGTAAATTACCCCGCCTCAGGTATTCCTTTATTGCAATGCAAGACTGACTAATATGGATCTTTTATACAGCATAGTGAGTACAGTTAATATTATAACAGTGTACTCTATTGCATATTTTTAAATTACTAAAGAGTATTTTAAAGTTTCTAAAAAAAAGAGAAAGAATAGGTATATGAGATGCTGGGCATATTAATTAGTCTTATTTAATTATTCTATAATGTGTATATGTACGCTAACATCACATTGTACCCTATAAATATATACAAGTATTATTATCCACTAAAATAAATGAATATTAAAAAATAGCCCAAACATTAGAATCTGATAGAGAAAGTAACCTTTTTCAAACAGCTTATGTGTACAAAATAAAAGTGAAATGTGTTTAGTCTTTTCCTGTATCATGTTTAGCACTTACACTTTCATGTTTATTTGATACCTGGGTAAATATAACTTTAACTTATATGTTTGAATTTATATTTAATTAAAATTTTCTTTTGAAATATCTAAACAATAATGTAGAAAATGATATTCATATATTTAACTAAATACCAAAATGTGTTCACATATATCATAACTTCTCTTTGAGAAGCTGGGTTTGCAATAAGACTTTATAAGTATTTGGTTCTGTATAGTTTCCAATGAGCTTTGCAGAGTAATAGTAAAAAGATAGTGATAGTGTTAATTAGTGAATTAATGTTCTCAGTTTTTGATGCTGCTGAAATAAAGCCAAAATGCTTCTAAACACCAATTATGGAAGGATCTTTTGAATTCAATGAGAATGTCAGAATTCTGTTATTGTTTTGGCCAGGAATTAATAGTGGAGAGTTTTCTCCAACTTCCAGATTCAGATCATGCATTGTTAGAGTCTGCAAATCGCTATGAAGTAATGGTGGAGGTGAACACCAAATCTGAAACAAGAGATATGTGTTGTATCTTGTACAAGTGTCATGGACAAAGTATTTTTTCAACATATATGCTTTCTATTTGATCTGATTATCTTTTTTCTCTTTCTATTATTTCTTCTGAAAGCTGATATATATATATATATATATATACACACACACACAAATGTAAATCTTATATATATGTGTTTTACATATATATAAAGCTTTCTTGAATATTGTTCATTTGTGTACATACATATATAAGCTTATCCATGTATGCAAGTGGATAATATATGAAAATGGTGTATTCTCACTGCATTTGAGGATTTAGCTAACTAGACTAGGTAGACTGACTAAAACAATGGGCTTAATTTATTGAGTCTCTTGTCAAGAGGAAATCTGGTGGTATTAACATTGAACATTTTCTCTTCAAATGAGGCATAGAGTGTTGGATGACACCACAAGATCTACACTTTTGAGATGTATTGTAAAGAACTAGGATATAGTTGTGTTCCAAGGGCTAATAGAAACTGCATTCTATTTCCGAGGAGTTCTGTGAACCTTTTCATCTTGCCCTTGGGTGACTCAATTCTATAGCTGGGGTGGTATGGGACAGATATCTGAGACTAGAATGCCTTTGGAGAGTCTTCACCATTAAAATAGTCTCTATTGGTTTAACCTGTGAATAAACTCATATATTCCAGAAGTAAATAGGGATAAAGGAAAATATAAACATTTCTTTCTACACTTACTTATAATAGGGCTTATTGTTAGTAAAGAGAATTTATAATGCATTTTTTCCTTTTTAAAATGGAATAGAATAAATAGAACATTTTTGCACCTGGAAATGAATGTTCTTTGAATGCATTTCAAATGTGTTTTGCATACTTTCAATCCTATTATGTTAGCTTTCCAGCTTTCTTTTGGCAGAAGAGCATTCTGCTATACCCCTTTTTTTACCCAGTTAATCCAGTAATTTATTAATTGATATTTCAATTTACTGATCAAGTACAATTTATTTTTAAAAAACCCCATGGGTCAGGTTTGTAAAACAGGGTTATGGCATCCAAGAAAAGAATCCTCTTGCATTGTGCTTAATGTCCTATCACCTACAGATGCAATGAGAAATAGAGAAAACGTGTTTTCAAACATGGCATTCTTTCCTCGGTGCTACAATGACAGATTCTGCAAATTGCTATGAAGTAATGGTGGCAGTAATACCAAATTTGAAACTAGAGATATGTGTCACATAAACAATCTACTTTGGTCCGCACATGTGATTCACATTCAAAATATTTGCTTGGTCCCAAATTCATGGACAGATAGGTTTCATGTGATTAAAATGTTCAAAAGTGTCACTTTTAGCCTGGCAATTTATTTGTCTGATCAACATTCTTTTCTGTGCAATAAGCTGATAAATATTCCAGCCAGGTTTTTTATTAATTCTTTTTGCTTTTCTTTTGTACCTTTTGACTGACATCTATTCACTTCAAGGGTGATTTTCCTGTTGGCAAGAGGCAGAAGAGACACACCAAGCATCACCTTCAGGAACAAGCAATTTAAGTACTATAATGAGATGGGTCTTTTCAGAGCCTATAATTGGTGACAAGGTATGGCAGCTTCATATCAGACAAAGATGTACAACACAGAGCTTATTAATGAGGATGGAGCATCATACTCAAGAAAGCTTCCTGTGACTATGAGACAGGAGAATATAACAGATAGTGTAGGTTGTTACTAAGTCCAATATCTCCAATTTGCATCATAAAACCTTTATGTAAGCCAACTCAAGCTAATCCAGGATAAGATATTTTTCCCCTTTAGAATTCACTAAGGTAGCCAGCAATCCATCACGTTGGATCCCAGCCCTCACAGATAACAGCAATAATCATCTAAACTTGCAGATATGCTCAATTTAATTGGGTTAGTTTAGTAACCTTCCTTGTGTTAGAGCCAACTTGCAAAGAGACGTAATATTTTCAGAGTTATGAAGACATAGCAGCTGGCCATAGTAAGATTTGATTGTGGATCAAGAAATCAGATTTTTATCATTAAGAACTCTTCATGGAAATATATATGGAATAAATAATAAAGTAAAATGATTAACAAGGAGACCTACAGAGATACAGGCAAAGCAAAGGAAAGCTGCCTTACTGACAGTGCTGAAATCTGTTACTCAGCTCACTCTCAGTTTTTACTAATATTGGGTGGAGGACACTAATTTTAAATAAAACCAAAGGATTAAAAAGTGGATTTTGAAGTCATACACTATTTTAATATTTAGAAGCTCTATGGAACTTCAAGAGGTTCAAATTATTTTGTAAATATTAATTGATCAAGCTTTATGTGATTTTCTAAGAGAGGTACAAGTGTCTTCTTTTTAACATTCTTAAATATACTAAGAGGGTAAATAATTTTTATGCAGTCAAGTACAATTTCAGGGAGAATAAAGAGCCAACCCAGGGGTTAGATTCCTGGTGCTTTTACTGGGAAATCATCCTTTTTCTTTCATGAACAATAAAGCAGACAGAAAACAAATACCTCTTCCTAATTGTAATGCTGAGACCTCTCTTAATGAGGGTAAAGTGACCAAGATGCTGAAGAATACAACACTGTCCAATCCCTTCACCATCTGCGGTATATCAAGTGTTCATCGATGAACTGTTTATAGTATAATTACAAAGAAAAATACAGTTAAAATAAACAGAATAAAAGGTAAAGCATTGTCTAACTTAAATGTTCATTTCCTGATTATCAAGCATTCTTTTCAGAGAAAGCTGCCATCATTTCAGCAGGTACTGCTTAAAGGGAAGTCTTTCTGTTTATAATTATGGGCCCTTCATTCTATTTATTCTATTAGGTTGTAGGATTCTTCCTCAGATTGTCAGTCTATGGTAATGTTTCTAGGGAGTTCACAAATTTTCCATATAATCGGAATATTTCTTGAAGTTCAAATTTGGCCTTGTTTGATTATAAGCTGGAATTATAGTTCAATAAAACTTTTTTTTTTTTTTTTTGAGACGGAGTCTCGCTCTGTCGCCCAGGCCGGACTGCGGACTGCAGTGGCGCAATCTCGGCTCACGGCAAGCTCCGCTTCCCGGGTTCACGCCATTCTCCTGCCTCAGCCTCCCGAGTAGCTGGGACTACAGGCGCCCGCCACCGCGCCCGGCTAATTTTTTGTATTTTTAGTAGAGACGGGGTTTCACCTTGTTAGCCAGGATGGTCTCGATCTCCTGACCTCGTGATCCACCCGCCTCGGCCTCCCAAAGTGCTGGGATTACAGGCGTGAGCCACCGCGCCCGGCCTCAATAAAACTTTTAAAAGCATTTACAATTATAATTGTTTATTGATGAAAATGTCCAGAGCCACATTTTAAATTAACAGTGATTGCGTAGGTATTATTGCTAATGCATCACATATGACTAGTTATGAAAAAGCTAGAAGCATCTCCTTCTGAGCATCAAAACTAGGGGAGGCAGAGTCCTAAGTGTCAGAGACTGGCTTTTCCTGTTTGTCATGGGGACTGGTCAACGCTAATAAACCAAAATAACAGATTCTAGAGAGGTTGGAAAGGACTGCCTTATGTTACTCCCTCCATTCAAACTTTGTTCTTACCCTCAGAACTGTGTGTTTTGATTCTAACCTAGACACTGATCAAAAACCTAGAATAAGTCTACAGTCTGCCTAATTCAGCCACTACAAAGTGAGGAAGTAAAGGGCACAGAGGTGAAAATGGAGTGGCAAAAAGGAGTCATTTATTCATGAAGACCATTCAATATCTTAGGTGATATATTTATTACAGTACCACAGGATGAAATCTGACATAGACTTTTCTAATTTAGTGAGTCCACTTGTGTCTCAAATTTAAATTTCATACGCCCATTGCACTTGTTCCCCACTTTCAATTATTTTCAGGGTAGATGAACAGATAACAGAATTTTAGAAATCAAATTTTAAATATTTGGGTTGCCCTTTTTTAGTCCACTCTCCTCAGAAACAACTTTATATGCAACCAAAGCAACATGTAGCTGCAAATTATGATGAATAGACCTCGGCTGTGATATTAGTCAGTCCTGAGGTCAGATGCAGGTAAGCCCCACAGCTCAGCCACTTCTTAGTATTAGGACCTTACATAGCCATGTGCCTATCTGAGCTTCCCTTTCCTCATTTTTACGTAAAAGTAATGATATACACTCTGTAGGACTGAGTTAGTGGTTAGAAATAATATATGCACAGTGTCTATCTTGGTAACTAGAATGTAATATACAGTGGATAACATTGCCATTATTAATTCCATTGTGATTATATGAAGCAGAAGGTCTTTGGGGACAGGATACTTTTCTGGGTGGGGACAGAACTGTATGTGGGATCATTTAATGGATGGCTCTTTTTCAAATATCTTGCTCTTGTGACAAGCTATGTCTGTGCCTTTACTCCAAGTGATTCATTCACATCTTGTCTGGCCACCTGCTTAGAACCTCACCACTCTTTCACTTTCACTAAGTGCTCAATAATAAAAATAGGATGACAAAGAGTTTGCCACTTCCAAGTGTGGTGACTCAACCCTCAGTGTTGTTTGCGAAGTCACCTTTCCCTCATTTTATGCAGTAGAACATTTGGGAATTAGAATGTTACTTGATAAAACTGCTTTATTCTTACCTTAAAACTTGAAAAAAAGAAATAACCTTTCTATGAATATGTAAATTATTTTTATATCAAATTTCAAATAAATTTTCTGTCTAATAAATAAGAAGTGTCCATAAATCCATGACAATTGTAGATGTAGGTTTCTTAACAGGTATAATAAATCAAACAGACACAATTAAAAATGATAAAGGGGATATAACAACCAATCCCACGGAAATACAAACTACCATCAGAGAATATTATAAACACGCCTATGCAAATAATCTAGAAAATCTAGAAGAAATGGATAAATTCCCGGACACATACACCCTCCCAAGACTAAACCAGGAAGAAGTTGAATCCCTGAACAGGCCAGTAACAGGCTCTGAAATTGAGGCAATAATTAAGAGACTACCAAACAAAAAAAGTCCAGGACCAGACAGATTCACAGCCGAATTCTACCAGAGGTGCAAGGAGGAGCTGATACCATTCCTTCTGAAACTAGTCCAACCAACAGAAAAAGAGGGAATCCTCCCTAACTCATTTTATGAGGCCAGCATCATCCTGACACCAAAGCCTGGCAGAGACACAGCAAAAAAAGAGAATTATAGACCAATATCCTTGATGAACATCCATGCAAAAATCCTCAATAAAATACTGGCAAACTGAATCCAGCAGCACATCAAAAAGCTTATCCACCATGATCAGTGGGCTTCAACCCTGGGATGCAAGGCTGGTTCAACATATGCAAATCAATAAACTTAATGCAGCATATAAACAGAATCAAAGACAAAAACCACATGATTATCTCAATACATGCAGAAAAGGCCTTTGACAAAATTCAACAGCCCTTCATGCTAAAAACTCTCAATAAATTAGGTATTGATGGGACGTATTTCAAAATAATAAAAGCTATCTACCCACAGCCAATATCATACTGAATGGGCAAAAACTGGAAGCATTCCCTTTGAAAACTGGCACAAGACAGGGAAGCCCTCTCTCACCACTCCTATTCAACACAGTGTTGGAAGTTCTGGCCAGGGCAATCAGGCAGGAGAAAGAAATAAAGGGTATTCGATTAGGAAAAGAGGAAGTCAAATTGTTCCTGTTTGCAGATGACATGATTGTATATTTAGAAAACCCTATCATCTCAACCCAAAATCTCCTTAAACTGATAGGCAACTTCAGCAAAGTCTCAGGATACAAAATCAATGTGCAAAAATCACAAGCATTCTAGTACACCAGTAACAGACAAACAGAGAGACAAATCATGAGTGAACTCCCATTCACAACTGCTTCAAAGAGAATAAAATACCTAAGAATCAAACTTACAAGGGATATGGAGGACCTCTTCAAGGAGAATTACAAACCACTGCTCAACGAAATAAAAGAGGACACAAACAAATGGAAGAACATTCCATGCTCATGGATAGGAAGAATCAATATTGTGAAAATGGTCATACTGCCCAAGGTAATTCATAAATTCAACGCCATCCCCATTAAGCTACCAATGACTTTCTTCACAGAATTGGAAAAAACTACTTTAAAGTTCATATGGAACCAAAAAAGAGCCCACATTGCCAAGACAATCCTAAGCCAAAAGAACAAAGCTGGAGGCACCACGCTACCTGACTTCAAACTATACCACAAGGCTACAGTAACCAAAACAGCATGGTACTGGTACCACAACAGATATACAGACCAATGGAACAGAACAGAGCCCTCAGAAATAATACCACACATCTACAACCATCTGATCCTTGACAAACCTGACAAAAACAAGAAATGGGGAAAGGATTCCCTATTTAATAAATGGTGCTAGGAAAAGTGGCTAGCCATATGTGGAAAGCTGAAACTGGATCCCTTCCTTACACCTTATATAAAAATTAATTCAAGATGGATTAAAGACGTAAATGTTAGACCTAAAACCATAAAAACCCTAGAAGAAAATCTAGGCAATACTATTCAGGATATAAGCATGGGCAAGGACTTCATGTCTAAAACACCAAAAGCAATGGCAACAAAAGCCAAAATTGATAAATGGGATCTAATTAAACTAAAGAGTTTCTGCACAGCAAAAGAAACTACCATCAAATTGAACAGGCAACCTACAGAATGGGAGAAAATTTTTGCAATCTACCCATCTGACAAAGGGCTAATATCCAGAATCTACAAGGAACTTAAACATATTTACAAGAGAAAATCAAACAACCCCATCAAAAAGTGGGCGAAGAATATGAACAGACACTTCTCAAAAGAAGACATTTATGCAGACAACAGACACATGAAAAAATGCTCATCATCACTGGCCATCAGAGAAATGCAAATCAAAACCACCATGAGATACCATCTCACACCAGTTAGAATGGCGATCATTAAAAAGTCAGGAAACAACAGGTGCTGGAGAGGATGTGGAGAAACAGGAACACTTTTACACTGCTGGTGGGACTGTAAACTAGTTCAACCATTGTGGAAGACAGTGTGGGGATTCCTCAAGGATCTAGAACTAAAAATACCATTTGACCCAGCCATCCTATTACTGGGTATATACCCAAAGGATTATAAATCATGCTACTATAAAGGCACATGCACACGTGTGTTCATTGCTTTACTATTCACAATAGCAAAGACTTGGAACCAACCCAATTGTCCATCAATGATAGACTGGATTAAGAAAATGTGGCACATATTACACCATGGAATACTATGCAGCCATAAAAAATGATGAGTTCATGTCCTTTGTAGGGACATGGATGAAGCTGGAAACCATCATTCTCAGCAAACTATCGCAAAGACAAAAAAATCAAACACCGCATGTTCTCACTCATAGGTGGAAATTGAACAGTGAGAACACTTAGACAGAGGAAGGGGAATATCACACACCTGGGCCTTTCATGGGCTGGGGGGAGTGGGGAGGGATAGCATTAGGAGATATACCTAATGTAAATGACGAGTTAATGGGTGCAGCACACCAACATGGCACATGTATACATATGTAACAAACCTGCACGTTGTGCACATGTACCCTAGAACTTAAAGTATAATAAAAATAAATAAATAGGTAAATAAAAATGGTTAAAATTATTTCAGTAATGAAATGTAACACAAATTAATATGAGAAATTGGATATAAGAAGATTCTAGTTTATGGAAACTTAAGGAAAAGAAAACAAGGAAGAGATTTTTTTTTTTTTTTTTGGAAAAAACATGTTAGGAAACTAACCAAGAATTCCCCAAACGATTAATTTCATTTATATGAAAATCTCTTGTAAAATGTGTCCTGTAAAATGGATGCATAACTTATACCGTTACTTTTTCTGGCAGGTGCCATTTTTCCAGGGGAAATGTTTGAATATTATAGTGACTTTTAGAAAGTAACAGTTGATAATAATTTCTGAAGTTTGAAACTGGTGACTATCAGATGTTAGGCTGCACTGAAACTTAGTTGGTAATTGCTGATTTTTATTCTCTCTGTTCCTCTAAGCAAGCAGTATTGCAGAAAGCCCCATATCACAATATCACTGGCTGAAAATAATTTTGAAATTGGAGTTATTCAAATCTATCTATCTGTGAAGCTATTACTTGCTCAACTGCCAAGAAAAAAGAAAACTTTTAAATCTTTATCAAATATTTAGATCTTAACTTTTGCCATTTTTTTCTTTTTTTTAGGAAACTTATATTCTCTGAGTAATTCTCCAAGTTTAACATCTGTACTCATGAAGAAATATTTTAGTTCCTTGAATATCCTATGTTATATAACTCATTCCAGTGATTCCCAGTCTTTTGTTCCCAGAAATCTGGAGAATACTCCTTTTTATTCATGAGAAGGAAAAAATGTAATAAATTGCTCACTACACTTCCCAGTTTATTTGTTTTTCAAGTCAAAGGTTGCCTTCTTCCTGGGTATTTTTTTAAACAAGTGATAATTAATGTAGACAATGATGTTGTGTTCTACTTCCCATTCTTTAAAAGGGTTTAAACATTGCTGACCATGAAGAAGGTAGCAGGTATATTCCAGCACAGAAAAAGAGTAGCTGACAGCTCTTTGGTGGCAGTAGCAAGCAAATGTGTTGTCTTGATTTGTAAAGGGTTTTAATGTCATCAATAGTAATTCAGCAAAGAGAGAGTTGTAAAATGCAGCTCAAAATGTAGCAAATTGCATCATTGTTAGTGCTTTAGAATTTTAAAATATCTGCAGCAGATGGTAGAGTGCTAGGAGCAATGTCTTCCTTTAGTGTCTAGGAAAAGTTTATGTCATCATAAACCCTCGCATGATCGAGGCTTCTTTGGCCTGCTGAAAAAAGTTGTTATTTATTTTCCAGGAAATAATAGTTTTCTTTTAAAAATATTTAACAAAGTATCAAGAAATCATATTTTCTTAGAGAAATGGATCACTTTCCAAGGATATGAGAATATTATATAGTATCCTTAGAAATGGGGAAATATTTTAAAACAACTTAATAGAGGATCTTTTCTCCTAACAAATAGTTCTCTGAAATATTGTCTAATCTTGTTTTAATCTGAATAAGAAAACCATTTCCACTTAAAAAATAATTTATAATACTTTATATACTCATCAAATTTTAGCTCTGGGAGCCTCATTAAAAGTTAGCTACTCTTATCATTTATAAATGGTGGGACTGAATCTCTTAGCACTTTCTCAAGAACCCTTAGCACTTACTCAATACATCTGGAATTAGGCCACCAGGTAACTCTTCTTTTTCAACTTAGATTTTGTTTTGCATTTTTCTAATGCACTAAACTGTAGTAATAATAATAATAATAGTGAATTGTTGTTTGTGGCCAGTACAAAAACTTCCTAAATTAAAATTGATAATTGTGCAACAATTCTAGCTATCAATATTCTGAAACCTTGAAGAAACATGCAAGGGATTGCCTTATTTTTGTGAATTATGCAAAAATCAAAATAAAGAATAGGATAAATGACATACTAGTTTTAGAAGTGGGACCAAAAAATCACTTCAGAGTAGAGAATATTTCACTGCCAAATATTATGCACAATGATTTGAGGTTATATATCAAGGCAGCTGCTAGGATACACTCTGGAAACTAGGCTTGGAATGTCAGCTTTGCCACTTAATGTTGTGTGATCAAATTTAAAGTCTCTGTGTCATGGTTTTGTCATCTGGAAAATGGAGCTAAGGCCCATACTAAAGTGTTGTGAGGATTAAATGATTATTAATATAAAACACTTTAAATAGTCTCTGACAGCCAGCAAGTTTATACCAAATTTAATTGTTCTTACTATTATTATATATTAAATTTCATGCATTATAGAGTGAACTTTTTCTCAGGAAGACAGCATGGCAATGGCTGAGCCCAGCAGAAAAGTACAGGTAATTGTGAGGAAAGATAATTGGTGCCAAAGAGCTAGAAGAAAAACAGGTACCAAAGCTGGTTGCTTGAAAAGTGCTCCAAAAACTATTTTCTACTTTGTCTGTCCTATGGAAGTATCCTCAAACCAGATGGAGTTAATTGTCTTTAGTTTACTCTTCTATCTTGGTTTTCTCTATCTTTTAAACATTAGTTTCATTCTCTATCTGGATATATATATATTTTTTACAGTTAAGTATGCTGAAAAGATGATGACTCAGATTGGGGCTACTGAGAAAAGATATTCTGATAAGAAGTAAAATAAGGGCATTCACCTGGCTGGTGTTTCTATCTTGTGTTCAGCCTCCCTCGATAATACTGGAAAGAGAAAAGACAATCTTGTGGGGAAGAGAAATATTTTTATCCTGCCCACATATCATCACAAACGCTAAGGTAGAGTTCCTTTCAGTTGTTCCTCACAGTTCATCTTGATTCTTGGTACCAAGGGACCAGGCCAGCATTTTCACTAACTAATTAACTAGCTGCTACCCCGTACCCTCACCCTGCTCAGTCACTTCTTTCCTGAAGGCCACATGCCCTGTGTGATCCTTCTGCTCGTGGAAAGACAAGGGAGAAAGCAAACAAACAGCCAAAACAAAGGCAGAGATGTTGCTAGGCATGCTAGAGGAGTATTTCTAGAGATGTTTTATTCTGAGCCTCAATACTTAACTTGTTGTCTTAGCCACCAGTCTGTAGAGATTCTTTTCTCTTGATAAAACATTTTGACCTTTCTCTTACTCTCTCTATAGTTATATGTAAAGTTAGTTGTCAGGGACTAGCCTCCTCAGTCTTTATCCAGTGCTCGTTACATTGTGATCAAGGACAAAGGAATTGATGCCTCTGGCTGATGTCCCTCCCTGTGCTTGTCATTACTGACATGCACCTTTCTAACTGTCACCCTTGAGTAACAATATATCATTTTTGATGGTCATCTTCTTTCACAGATTCAGTCCTCAACGTATATGAAAAAAGGCCAATCTTTCTCCCCATCTTCACCTATCAATTCAGCATAGCTCTTGTGCCACAAGATACAAAAGAAATCTGCTAGAACACAGTTCATTCTTACGTGGGTTTACAAATGCTGCATATTAATTTAGAACTAAAAAAAAAGGGAAAATCACACAAATAAGAGACAAATATAATAAGATTCCCCTACAAACTGAATATAATTTTGTTAACCAATATTATTACACATATCGTTTCCTGAGCCAGAGAAAAATACCAAGGACAGAGCTTTTTCCAGTGACCTTGCATCGTGCGTTGATGCTCGAGTGCTTCACTATCCAAGAACATGCCTCAAATTCATTGTTTCTGTGCATGGAAAAATTGAGGTCCTTTGTGTCACCTTCTCTATAACTTAAACGTAGATGACCCCCTTGGATTGTCAATATCTACATTCTTTTTTGTTGATGCACAGTAAAAAATATTTGAATACTTTCCCTTGGAACTAATAAATTACAGGCATGTAATATACGTGAAATATATATTAGGGGAAATATAGGGGATCCTTGTTACATAAGTATTCATTTCCTGAGTTTCTTCAATTGAAAGATTGATAAGACACCCAAATTCTTACCGCACAAAAATATGTATTAATAAAACAATCACTTGTAAAATTAGTCCTTTCTCTCCACTCTTAACTTGGCATCTATTCCCTATTCATTATGTCTTCATTGTCACTTTCACTTGATGTCAGAAGACAGTGCAAAATAAAAGTAGGACAAATTTATTGTTACATGAAGCTGAATGTTTTAAAAGATGCTAGATTTTATAAAACCAGTATGCTTGGAATAATCCTACACCTTCTCCTTCCTTCTAAAGTGATCTCTGATTTTTTTCAGGATTCTACACAAATCCTCATCTCCAGATGGATTTCTAATTAGACAATCCAAGTTCCTGACAACTCCCTCTTAGCCATCATTGACTCAGTTTGAGCCTATGACTTTAATTGTCCACTTGACAAAAGAGAAAGACTTCCGTTCTAGGTTTGGGGAAGAATGGGGAAGAATTTTCTCTTTCACATGTTCTTGCTCTCTCTTCTTATGAAAATCAAAAAGGCATCCTAAAATATCTCTGGAAGCCATTGTGAAACTACAAGGGAACTAGTTTTGGATGAGGCCTAGGATATGAAAGTCAGGTTTAGAGACAAAGAGAACGTGAGTCGTTGATGGCGTCAGAAGCACCTGCCATCTGATATCTGGCGCATACTCTATATCCGGCTATGTATGCTAATAAATATCCTTGATCCTTGCTGTTAATACATTTTTGAATTGGGAATAGGTATTTCAGGCAAAATCACCATAATTTCCTACAATGAAAATGATGGAGAAGAATTGCCTAAATTATAAGCAAAAACACTGACAGATCAGCATATGGAAGAAATAGACCAGTTACCAATTGCAAAAGAGAAAATTGCCAAGAATGAGGATATTTTATATGCTCCAAAAGAGAATATTTGGATATCATAAAACCAAAAAAGACCTTGAAGAAATTGATGAATCACTAGAATATTTGTTTCAAGTATATCTCTCTTTATGATCAGGCTGTGCCATAGAAATATAAAGGTGTCCTATCCTGTCCTCAAATAATTTCACTGGAAAAATTCATCTCCTTCCAAATAAGAATCCTTTACTTATTTTGAAATTAATGCATACTATTAATTTTATTAATGTTTGAATAGATGAACCTATTTTTAAAATATTTGTTTTCATCTCTCAGCATAATTTTTCCAAAATATTTTTATTATTTAAACTGGATTTACTTTTAGTTAATTTTTTCCTGTAACATTATCATCATATACAAAAGACTTTTTGTATATAATGGATTTATAATTTCCAGTTTCAGATAGAAATGAAATTGTAAATGGAATTACTAAATATTTCTTTTTCAAAATAAATAAAGCACTATATGCCATAGGTTAATGCATATGATAAACCCAATCATACATTTTACAATATGGCATGATTCGCATATCATAGCAGATATAACATGACTAGCTTAAAAAATTATTCAAATTTTGTCCAAAAACTAATGTTTAAAAAGGACTTCCTTCATTGAATACGAGTTTTAAATATTTTTTTCTCAACAGTATAGTAAACCATAAATATTTCCAAGTCTTCAACATTGCTAGCCACTACAGATTCAATGAGATATGAGTCATAATCTTATACCTCAAAAAGATTTTTCTAGTTGTGTAGAAAAAAACCCTGGATATAACATTAAAGTAGGATAGAGCTAAGGACCAGGCCAGTGCTGGAGATAGCAAGTACTGTGGTCATTGAGAGGAAGGTGCCTTGGACAGGGCTAAGCACTGCTCAGACACCACAGATTGTAATCTACATGAATTCTTGAGTTTGCTATTCAATGCGTGTTCTTGAATCATAGGCATTAACATCACCTAGGAGCTTGTTGGAAATACAGACTGTCAGCCCTTTCCCTGGGATTTACTGAATCACAATCTCCATTTACAAAATCCCCAGGTGATTTACATGCTCACTGAGTTTGAGAAAACTGCATACAGGGTATGAAGCAAAGAAAGATTCCCAGTCTTCCTTTTTCAAAATTGTTTTTCCTGAATTAACGATATCTAAGGCTTTAACGCCCGTTTTAATGTATGCACAGATGTCTTATTCACTTTGCAAGCAATATTAATCTTCTGTGAGCTGGATCACTCTGCAAGACGCGCACTCGACCACTTCTGTGCCAAGTGTAAGGGGCTTCCACACAGAGTTCTCACTCTCAGGGATCATTCCTGGATTTCATCTTCATTATCTCCAATTTGATTGCGAGAAGCACTTGACGAGAGTCCAGTTTATAATCTCAGTTTGGGCGCTAATTAGCAGCATGATCACAGTGACATAATTATTTTAGGTAATGTTTTCTTATTTATAAAAGGAGATCAAATGATCACTAAATGTCCTTTAAGCTCTGTGAGTTAATTCAGTTTTAGATTTTCATACATTAGAAGATAAAAGGATTGAGATTAACACTACTTAGACTTCTGTGCAATCTTTCAGAACAAAGAATGCTGAAGAAATGATAGTGTGTGTAGAATATGTATGAAAGCAGGTTGTTGTTGTGGTTAAAACAAGTAAATGCTAAGATTCGACACCATGTTTTTATTTAAAGAAAATTTTTTTACTTTAAAACGTAAAACAGATTTTTTTTTTTACCTTCAATAACCAACTTTGAAACACTATATATATTTCCTATATGAGCAAAACATTGTCGGGATGACTTATAAATAAAGGAGAATACTAATGAACTCAACTTGGCCATGATATACTTATTTTCTTTTTTCTCCCTTTGACATAATTTCTTAAAATTTTCTTTTCTTATTTAGAGTTGTGCTATTTCGAAATACAGAAGGCATCTTATCAAATGCCTTACTTTCAAAAATTCATAAAGAAAATAATTATTGAATATTTTGGGAGCAAGGCAATGCTAATCTCCATGGGACATTCAGAGAAATAATACTAGCTTATGATGTTAACATTTTTAAATAACAGAGTTGTGTAATTATGATTATAAATTTAGACACAATATTTATTGCAGGACCCCTCGACCCCATGTCAGAAGTTATGTATGGTAGACATGTTCCCATACACGACCTCATATAATCCTCATGACAATGCTATAAAGTAAATATTATGATTTCTGCTTAGCAGAATATATACTGCAATATTTTTTCAAAAAGAAGAAAATCCCAGCCCCTTCCTTGGGATTTAGTGAATCACAATCTTCCTTTGCAAAATCCCCAGGTGATGTACATGCTCACTGAATTTTGAGAAAACTGAATAGAGGGTATAAAGGAAAGAAAGATTTCCAGTCCTCCTTTTTCCAAAGTTTATCTAGAATTAACTTTCTCTAAGGCTTTAATGTCAGTTTTAGTGTATACACAGATGTCTTATTTATTTTGCAAGCAATATTAATGTTCTCTGTGTTGGACCACTCTGCTTGCAAGATGGGTAAAAAAGCTACCATAGTGGTCTGGGAAATAGGTTATGAGGACTTGTATGTACCGAATTGTACGTATTGAATTCTATCTCCCCTGCCAAATACACATATGTAGAAGTCGAAACCCCCAATACCTCAGAATGGGATCTTATTTGGAAATAGGGTCACTATACATGTAATTAGTTAAGATGAAGTCACACTAAAGTAGAGTGGACCCCCTAATCCAATATAAATAATATTCTTATAAGATCGTCATGAGAACATAGACACCTGCAGGGAGAATGACAAGTGACGACAAAGGTAAAATTGGAGTTGTGCAGCTGCAAGGGAAGAAACTGCAAAGACTGTTCAGCGAACTACCGGAAGGTGGGATGGGATATGGAAAGATTTCCTTCCTGGTCTCAGAGAGGAGCATCGCCTTGCCGATACCTTGATTTCAGACTTCTAGCCTCCAGAATTGGGAGATAATAAATTTCTGTTAAGTGGCCAGTTTGTGGTACTTTGTTTAGGCAGCCCTGGGAATCCAATACACTTTACAGTAAAGAATGGGCAGAAAAACTGAGAGAAAGACATATAAACTATACTAGAAAAGACAAAAATAAAAATAAAAAGGAAATGTATACAGGGAGTCAATATATGTATAAAGGTAAGTTAAAAAAAATTCAGAAATTTTGAACTTGGGAGACCACAGAATATAAGACAGTTTGAGTATCCCTTATCTAAAATGCTTGGGACCGGAAGTGTTTAGAATTTCAAGTTTTTGGCTGGGCGCGGTGGATCACGCCTGTAATCCCAGAACGTTGGGAGGCCGAGGCAGGCGGATTACTTGAGGTCAGGAGTTCAAACCAGCCTGACCAACATGATGAAACCTCATCTCTACCAAAAACACAAAAATTCCCAGGCGCGGTGGCGCTTGCCTGTAGTCCCAGCTACTCCGGATGCTGAGACAGGGGAATCGCTGGAACTTGGGAGGCAGTGGTTGCAGTGAGCCAAGATCATACCACTACACTCCAACCTGGGCCACAGAATGAGACCCTATTTGAAAAAAAAAAAAAAAAAGGAAAATTCAGATGTTTTTGATGTTTAAATATTTGCATAATCATAATGAGATATCTTTGGGATGGGAGCTAAGTCTAAACATGAAATTCATTTATGTTTCATATACACCTGATACATATACCCTAATGGTAATTTTCTACAATATTTAAAAATTTTGTACATAAAACAATGTTTGCATACATTGAACCCTCAGAAATCAAAGGTGTCACTATCTCAGCCACCCACGTGGCATCATGGTGGTACTAAAAATGTTTCAGATTTTGGAGCATTTTGGATTTTGGATTTTCAAATTAGGGATGCTTAACCTGTAATATTATTAAAAACTGGTAGTTGAATTGTTAACTAATTTAATAATAGAATTGGGTGAAAAATGGAAATAAGGTAGAGAAAAGGGGCTGTGGATAATCATAGTAGAATAAACCTTAGGAAGAGGATAATAAAATAAATTTCATACGTTTTTAAAAAATAATAAAATTAAGACAGAAGTTATAATCAAAGAAGATTGAAATATTTGCTAAAACTATATATGATAAGAAGGATAGTACACTGAATGCTTTTATGTTCGAGGAACTTTATAGATACTATTATTCATCTTCACATCAGTACCATAAATGTATCAAAAGTGAGTAACCGTCCACCAAATTCATCCCACCTTCCAAAGAGGTGAAGCTAGGAAGTGGATGTTTGCAGACGTTTTCCAACCCCTCTCACAGGTAAGTGTTATTTTTTATAATATTGACTTGTTCTCACTAAGATAATGTGAACAAAATGATGAGTTCAATTTACAGGCTTAGCATTTATGAAGCAGATATGCTTCCTCCATACCTTCTTTTTTTTTTTTTTTTTTTTTTTTTGCTAGCTGGATGCAGATGGCCTGGAAGACCCCGCAGCTGGGATGGCAAACTATGGCCTATGGACCAGATCTGCCCTACTGCCTGTTTGTAAAGAGTTTTATTGAAACACAGCCATACACATTTGTTTGCATATTGTCCATGCCTGCTTTATGCTGCACCAGCAGAGTTGAGTTAAGTAGTCGTAACAGATACTTTATGGCTTGCAAAGCCTAAAATATTTATTATCTGGCTTTTTACAGAAAAAGTTATTAACCCCTGTCGTAGATGATAGCAAAGTCAAAATCTAAAGGGAACCTGGATTCTCAAATCACTGAGAGCTGCCACCAACCTAAACCCAACCTTGTTGGACTATTATATGAGCCCAGGAATAGACTGGTTATATTTGATACATTATATTTCAGGGCTTATTTCTAATAGCAGTTTACCCTGTGCTTACTAATGCGTCCATTTACAGATTTTTTTTTTAAAGCCAAAGAAGTTAAAGAACTTAGCCATGACTACATTAGTAAGTGAAAAAGAACACTATTCCAATGCAGCTCTAGGTCTAAAATCTGTCCTATTTCTCTCCTAGATTCAGAGTAATCATATTTGGATGTTGAGTTCATAGGTGATTTTTGTTTTCTAATCTGTGTTCTTATGTATTTTTTTCTAATAGTTTTATTGAGCTACAATTCAGATACCAAGTAATTCATCCTTTTAGAGTGTACAGTTTAATGGCTTTTAGTATGTTCACAGAGTTGTACAAACCATCACCATTATTTAATTTTAGTATACGTTAATCATTCCCAAGCCAAATCCCATTAGCAATGACTTCACATTCCCCACTGTCCCCATCACCTGGGAACCACTAATCTACCTTCTATCTCTACAAATTTACCTATTCTGAACATTTCATATAAATGGAATCATACAGTATATGGTCTTCTGTGACTGGCTTCTTTTTCTTAGCATAACATTTTCAAAGTTCATTTATAGTTCAGCATATATGAGTACTTCATTCCTTTCTACTGCTAAATAATATTTCATTTTTGGATATATCACATTTTGTTTAACCATTAATCAGTGGGCTATTTCTACTTCTTGGCTATTAAGAATAATGCTGCTACGAAAAACACAAGCTTTTGTGTAAATATACATTTTTAATTCTCTTGGGTATATACCTAGGAGTAGAATTGTTCTGTCTATGGCAACACTATGTTTAATATTACAAACATTTAAACAACTGATGAACTGTTTTCCGAAGTGGCTGCACTGTTTTATGATCTGATCGGCACTGCATGACCCTGGATTAGGCAATGGATTCCAATTTCTCCACATCCTTGCCAATGCTTGCTTTTGCCTTTTTAATTTTAGCCATTTCTGTGGGTGTATAGTGGTATCTACACACTACAGTGGGTGTATAGTGGTATCTCATTGTGGTTTTGATTTGCATTTCCCTGTGACAAATGATGTTGAGCATGTTCCATTTACTTAATGGCCATTTGTCTATCTTCTTCGGAGAAGTGTCTATTCAAATTCATTGTCTATTTTGAAATTAGGTTATTTGTCTTTTTTATTGTTGCATTGTAAGTGTTCTTTATATATTCTGGATACAAATTTCCCATAGGAAATATATTATTTGAAAATGTTTTGTCCCATTCTGTAAGCTGTCTTTTCATTTTCTCGATGAAATTCTTAGAATCACAGAAGTTTTAAATTTTGATGCAGTTTATCTATCTTTTCTTTTGTCACTTATGCTTTTGGTGTCATATCCAAGAAACAATTGCCTAATCCAAGGTCATGAAGATTTACACCTGCTTTCTTGTAAGGGTTTTATCTTATAGGTTTAGCCCTTACATTTAGGTCTATTACCAATCTTGAGTTAACTTTTGTATATGGTAATATGTAGGGATTCAACTTTTTACTTTTGCATGTGGATATCCAGTTGTCCCAGGAACATTTGTTTAAAAGATCTCATGCATTTTTCAATTCTTAATTAACTTGTATTAGTTTTGTGATTGAAAACACTAAATGTCATAAAAATGATACAAAACATTCTTCAAAATTAAATTTAAATGTATGTAGGAGGATAATGGAATGTCACAGAAATTAAAGGCAAATTTAAGGATTTTAGGAATTTGATTTAAGGAAAATTGGGAAGGCTCAGCTGTCATCTACAAAATACAAGTCAAGGAATTTAAAAAGAGAAAAAAAAGACAAACTTTGGGGAGAGTGTTTTCAAAAGATGGATTTGTCTCATTCAAGAAGTAAGAGTTTAAATGTGGAGATAAAAGCACTGAGCATTAGACTATGCTTTAAACATTTTTGGTGGTGAGAAAGAATCATTTAAAAGAAAAAAGATGGAAGGACAATTATTACAGTGTAGGGTAACAAGTTTTCGAAAGAATAGTCTTATAGTATAAAGGAACATGATTTTTTAAAGGAAAGTTATTAGAGAAAGATGGAGGATGCAGGGAAAAGAGAGACAACTTGAAAAAATGTGAGAGGAAAGTGTCTGATAGGGTACAGGCTTTGGAGCAGAGCTATGTAAGTATTTGTTGAATGTAAGAAAGCAAAAGGAGAAAGGTTGGATGGTAAGTTGGAAATCTGAAATGGGAAGAAGGGAAGGAAAAAACAGGGAGGGAAGAAGGTATGCAGTAAGAATGGATGGGTTAAGGGCAAAAGAGGACAAATTCTTTAATAAAACGAATTCTCTTTCCTTTGAGGTGGAATTCTGATGTGATAATTTAGTCCAAGTTTATAAACTCGTTAATCTGCTGTTTGCTGATTCACCTGTGTACAAAGTATAAGAAAATGAGGTTTGTCTCCAGGTATGTATTTTGGTTATGGGTCCTGAGAGTTAAACAAAACAAACAAAAAATATGACTCCTTTAAAAATCAAGACATCTGACAATCCTAAGCCTGCATCCAGAAATAGGAACAACCACTGAAAGTTTCAGGTCAGCTGGCCCCTTTAGAGAGAGAAGAGAAAATCTGTTTCACAGTTTGCCTCAGTCCTTACCACTTCTGTGAACACACAAACATACACACACACACACACACACACACAATATATATATATATATATTCTCTGCTTATTTATTAAATGTTTACCTTCACAAAGTTGAAAAGGATGAGTAACACAGGTTTATTCACTGAAATCTATAACACAGAAGGTAAAGTGAAGGTGGCCATTGCACAAACAGATCTGGCTTTACTACGCTTAGGACATTTATCCAAGAATTGTGAGGCATAAATGGGAGTGTTTGGGGGGGGGTTAATAAATAGAAAGATATTTTTAAATTAGAGCAGTTTTACTTCTTCCCACCTCCTTTGTGTAATAATGAGCAAAGGATAAAAATTACAAGACCTTTAATTCCCAGCAGGCTAACTGGTATAGATGACCGTTGCAGGTTCACATTTCTGAGAATCTTACAAAATAAATACATTTTTAATAATATTGCTTTTGAGTTACTATTCCAAAATAAGCCTGTTACAAGGTTATGAGTGATAATTTTTAAGCATTGCAAGTAATGGATGTCTCTAATATTTATAAATTTAAAACTATATTTATAAGATATTTGAACAATTCCCTAAAACTATTTATCTGTGAGCCCGAATGAAACATTGCTACTTTTCACCTCTATTTCATATTCTTCATTTCTGAAGTCCTTACAAGGTCTTCTTTCCCTTTTAGTTGTGTGTCAGCATTCTAACTACTAGAAAGAATGAATTGGGACTTTTCTGCTTTTATTTTTATAATCCTTATGAAATCTAAAAAATAAAAAATATTTGATGTATTTGCACATTTAGATCTTCTCAGGTACAATGGATGTTGCCTGCATAGTTTTCTTTACAAAAGTGCACACATATGAGAAACTATTCTACACCCGCTTTACCCATACTGCAGAAGTAGTCTCATAAACATAATGAAATACTCAGGAGGAGGGGAGATCAGAAAGTTGCCAGATTTTTTTCTTTCTCATTGCTTTACTATCACAGTCTGGCTTTTCTGGTGTTTTGTGGTCTAGCTCTGCTATTTTGCTGTACTCTATGGGACCACCCACAAGTTGTCTAGTTTTGTTTTTATATCTCCAATGTCTCCTTTCTTTTATAATCTCCAATCTGATCAATTTTGGGGAAGTTTAAAAAGACATTGGAAGCCAGCAAGCCTCAATTTCAAAGTATATCTAATTTAGAACCTATATAACATTGACACGTGGACCCAGGTATTCTGTATTTTCACATTGCTTTTTAGTCACTTATCCCCATCAAGATTGAATAGACCCACATTTTCTAATCCTGCTCTCCAAAAACATAAAAATAGTGTTTCTTTACATGTATCTTTACAAAACAACATCAATAACAACAAAGGAAAGACAAAAACCACTCTAGTATTAAAGACATTGTTTTACAGGTTTATTCTAGTTAGTGCCAAAGATGAACAGTAAGAAGGAAGTTTTAAATACACACATACACAAGCAAAAATTTGTTTACAGCCTTCCTCCCCACCCACCATTTCCCACAGTGAGGAGGGAGGAAGAAGAGCATAAAACAACAGATTTAATAATGTTTGGTGTTTGCAGCAGCTAGTATTGTGGAACTGTCATCATTTCTGTTAATAATTTCTATTGTGGTACTGTTTATTTGTATGTGCACCCCAGAATATAATTGGATACTTGAATATATTCATGTTGTTATTGAGGGTTTTATGTGTGATGAGTGATATAATGTCACTTAATTACTAGATTTTAAAAATAGGGTTACAGTTGTCTATCAACTTCAAATCAGTAGATATCACAAAGATTTCAATCAGCTAGTGGTGATGATTATGATAAATAAAGGGAAATGGTTAAGAATTTCTAAGAAGCCACGTATAACGTTAAAGCTAAATTTCACGTGAGAGCATTTTGAAGATTTAAGCATGAAAACGCTGAAGATCATGGCTTGCTTCTAAAATAATTTCTTTTTTCATGGTTGAAATCTGATATTTTAGAAATTAAAATTTCAATTCTCCAAATTCCTTGCTCTCTTCTTTGCTTTCTTCCTTCCTTCGCTACTCTCTTCCTGACTTCTTTCTTACTAACTTGGATCGGTATTAGAGTGATAGAATCCACTATTTAATTGAGTATTACTAAATTAACACATGAAGCACTTGCTACCAGTTTTTAAACAGCAATACAACTGTTTTTGAAATTTTAAAATAAATTAAAGGGATTATGAAGAAAAGTTAAGTCTGAAATCTGGAAGCATTTGTTATCTCCCAAAATACATAGTAAAAATTATTATTTCCAATTTCCAACCAAATCTCAGTATGCCTCACTGTAGGAATTACATTTGAATGACTGTATTCCAAATATTTTAATGTGTTTGAACAATAGATTTTTGGCTTAGTAAAGTGAATCACTATCACCATGGCCTTAGATCAAGAAGGGCATTTTGTGTCATTTGATTATTAGAATTAGTTGCTGCTTATGCCACCAGTGTTATTGACTTTCAGTAACTTAGCACCATAGAAAGGTTCTGTATTCTTGGTTCCCTTGGGTAACAAGACAATCAAAGGCATAATCCTAAATTGACTTTTATATTGCAAAAAATTTACTGATCTAAAAATTTACTAGGAGGGAGACCAGCACATCTGCCCCATAGGAAATGATTTTTGCATAGTAAGTGTTGATCTGCATAACCATATGATCATCGCAAGTGCTGATTACCAAAACTGAATCATCATTACTTAGCAAAGTTCTATAAATACACATGGCACCATGTAATATATTCAGCTGTGCTAAATTAATGACAAAGTCCTTACCCCAAGGAGCCTGGGGGGTCTAAAAACAAAGAATGACACAAAAGACAATTATGTAGAACACACACTGAGTTGGGGGAAATTTTCAGTGAAATAACTTTAGTGAGGAATTTTTATGGTTTGTGGCAAAGGAAGAATTAAGGTTTCATACAAAGTTTGCCTTTCAGATTTGTTTTAATGCAAGTTGAGTACCGGCAAAAGATCAACATTTTAATCTCTTGACCCCTTGATAGTTTCATATATATAAAAATTTATATATATATATATATATTCCACATATATAAATATATATTTTTTTCTCAGTGTAGTTTTAAAATATCCTTATATTAGTATATTTAAATAACATAAAATCAATAAATTCAAAATTAAAATCATTACCTCTCTCCTTTTCTCACCCTTTAAATTAGCTCCTGCCTTGGTTAAAGGCATTACCTTCTCCCAGTGATTACTGAAGAAATTTCAGAGGTACTTTCTCACCATTCTCTCTCACCTACCACCAAATCCTGTAGATTACCAAATTGGTGGTATATTTTCTATTTTCACCTCCTCAGTCCTAATTTAGGCCTTCATATTTTACTTTAGATAATTACCGTAATTTCCTGTCTCCTCTTTAATCTATCACTTGAAGTAACTCTTTTAAGACAGATTACTTAGCAACTTCTCATCTGTCAGTTTGGCTCCTTAGTGTAAAGGTAGCTTCTGATGCTTCTGATGGCATTTCTGGCCCTTTACAATTCAACTCATACATTTCTTTCCATTCTTATTTTATATCAATTCCTACTCACCACACCCTAGGACTGTGATCTCTTTTAGGAGTCTTTGTGTTGATTTATGATATTTCATTGTACACAGCTATGTATTTTCTTTCTATGTTTTCTATTATTTCAGACCTAGAAAAGATGTTTTGTTTCGTTTTGTTTTGTTTCATGAAACTTTCTCAAATAGCTCAGGAGGAATGAAGTTTGTCTTCTATATATGTACCAACATAATACGGTAGAATTTGTTCTTATCTAGTAGATATTGGCTGGCTGCCTCCCCAGCAATATGCCATTTATTACATTAAGAGCCTTCATCTTTCCTTTCCAAGGTTAATCCCTTTCCTCATCTCAGTTTAGGAGCATTATTCCTCCTTATGCTCCAGAGGTGAATTTTTCTGCTACTCTAGACCACTGATTATTTTAAAAGTGAGCATTTAACGCATGTAAACCCATTATTTGTTAACCTCAGATATTTTGCTGAGAAACTTATAGTCTCTTTCTCATTTGGTTGCAGCTAAAATACCTAACATTGCTTTATCTATATTTTTTTACATTATGAGGAGACTAAGCCTATGGTTAGAGCCAACCTTGAGAAAGGAGAGACCAGATATTCATTGTAGTGTTATATTTTGAGTTCTCTGTCAAGCTGCTTTTAAATTTAGACCCATCCATGGACTACTCTATTATGTAAGTTGATTACTTTTACTTTAGCTTACTCTAGTGAGAGTTGAGTTTTCTGACACATGCATAATAAATAATCCTATTTCTATCTATTTAGATCTTCAAATAAGTATTTAGTTGCAAATATTTTCTCTGGGTAAATTATAAGTTCTATGAAGATAGAAAATGGTTTATATATTTTGTATCTTTTATTGTGCCTATTCTGGTATATTGGGTAATCAGTAATTTAAGCAGAGACCACATAATCATGTATCAAGAATGATTCTGAAAGAAAGAGTTTCGGGATGGGAGATTGGACTACACGATCCAAAGTGCCCCTTCCATCTCTTGGAATTTTTCATTACTCGATTAAGTTTACAAATTTATAAATAGAGTATTTATAAAATTATAAATTTATAATTTATAAATAGAGTATTTATAAATTATAAATTTATAAATACTCTATTAAGAGTAGTTCATGATGCAAGGCTGACTGTGATGGCAACCACAGTAAAAAACACATATATATTCATTTACTGGAGCTGTCATAGGAAAGTGCCACAAACTGGGTTGATTAAAACAACAAAAATGTATTATCTCACAGTTCTGGCAGCTAACAGTCCAAAATCAAGGTGTCATTAGAACCATGCTTCCCCTGAACAATCTAGGAAAGAATTTGTTTCATTCCTTTTTCTTAGTTTCTTGTTATGATCTGAACATTTGTGTTCCCCCAAAATTCATACGTTGAAACCTAATCCCCAGTCTGATAGTATTAGAAAGTGGGCACTTTGGGAGGAGATTAGGTCATGAGGGCACAATCCTCATAAAAAGAATTAGTGGCCTTATAAAAGGGACTCCAGAGAGCTAGCTAGCTCCTTCCACCATGTGCGGACACAGTATGAAGGCAGCATCTATCAACCAGAAAGCAATCCCTCATCAGAAATCAAATCTGCTAAGGCATTAGGTTTAGACTTCCCAGTCTCCAGAAGTGTGATAAATAAAGTTATATTGTTTAAAAGTTACCCAGTCTAAGATATTTTGTTATGGAAACATGAAAGGACTAAGATAGCCAAGACACTTATAGTAGTTTTCTGGCGATCTTTGTCATTCCTTGGTTTGCAGCTGGATATCTCCAGTCATTACCTTTTCACATGGGATTTCCCCTGTATCTTCACATAATAATCTTCTCATAAAGACACCAATCATATTGGATTAGGAGCCTACCTTACTCCAGTATGGCTTCACCTCAACTTTACTGGGGCTCCTTGCTCTGCAGAGGGAAATAGGATAATTATGCTAGTAGCTTTCCAATAAGGCAGGTAGGTGATTAGAACTGTAATCTAAATGATTTAAGGGAAGCAAAGAAAGTAGGCCTTTCTGAGGGTGGAAGACGGAAGGAGGGAGAGGATGAGGAAAAATAACTGATGGATATTAGGCTTAATAGTGATCGGTGGTGAAATAATCTTTGCAACTAACCCCCATGACACAAGTTTACCTATGTAACAAACCTGCACTTGTACCTCTAAACTTAAAATAAAAGTTAAAAAAAAAGAAGAACGTTTTGGTGTATTAGTCCATTTTCATGCTACTGACAAAGACATATCTGAGACTGGGAAGAAAAAAAGGGTTAATTGGACTTACAGTTCCACATGGCTGGGGAGGCCTCAGAATCATGGTGGGAGGTGAAAGGCATTTCTTACATGGTGGTGGCAAGAAAAAATGAGGAAGATGCAAAAGCAGAAACATGTGATGAAACCTTCAGATCTCATAAGACTTATTCACTACCATGAGAACAGTATGGGAGAAACCACCCACATGATTCAAATTATCTCCCACTGGGTCCCTTCCACAAAACGTGGGAATTATGAGAGTACAATTCAAGATGAGATTTGGGTGAGGACATGGAACCAAACCATATCATTCCACCCCGCCTGCTCCGAATCTCATGTCTTCATATTTAAAAATCAATCATGCCTTCCCAACAGTCCCCTGAAGTCTTAACTCATTTCAGCATTAACCCAAAAGACCACAATCCAAAGTCTCAACTGAGACAAGGCAAGTCCCTTCCACTTATGACCGTATAAAATCAAAAACAAGCTAGTTACTTCCTGGATACAATGAGGGTACAGGTATTGGGCAAATACAGCCATTCCAAATGGGAGAAATTGGCCAAAACAGAGGGGTTACAGGGCCTATGCAAGTCCAGAATCCAGCTGGGCAGTCAAATTAAAGCTCCAAAATGATCTCCTTTGACTCTAGGTCTCACATCCAGGTCATGCTGATGCAAGAGGTAGGTTCCCATAGTCTTGGGCAGCCCTGTGGCTTTGTGCAGTGTAGCCCCCCATCTTGGCTGCTTTCATGGGCTGGCATTGAGTGTCTGCAGCTTTTCCAGATGCACAGTCAAAGCTGTTGGATCTACCATTCTGGGGTCTGGAGGACATGGCCTTCTTCTCAAGATCCACTAGGTGATGCCCCAGTAGGGACTCTGTTTGGGGGCTCTGACCCCACACTTGCCTTCTGCACCACCCTAGCAGAGGTTCTCTATGAGGGCCCCACCCCTGCAGCAATCATTTGCCTTGACATCCAGGCATTTCCATACATCTTCTGAAATCTAGGTGGGGGTTCCCAAACCTCAATTCTTGGCTTCTGCACACATGTAGGCTCAACATCACATGGAAGCTGCCAAGGTTTGGGGCTTGCATCCTCTGAAACCATGGGCCTAGCTGTACCTTGACCCCTTTTAGCAATGGCTGGAGCAGCTGGAGCACAGGACATAAAGTCCTAGGCTGCACACAGCATGGAGTCCCTGGGCCTGGTCCACAAAACCATTTATTCCTCCTAGGCTTCTGTCTTTGTGATGGGAAGGGCTGCCATGAAGACCTATGACATGCCCTGGAGACATTTTTCCCATTGTCTTAGGGATTAACATTTGGTAATTTGTTACTTATGCAAATTTCTGCAGCCAGCTTGAATTTCTCTTCAAAAAATGGGATTTTCTTTTCTACTGTATCGTCAGGCTGCAAATTTTCCTTTTATGTTCTTTTTCCCTTTTAAAACAGAATGCTTTTAACAGCACCCAAGTCACCTCTTGAGTGCTTTGCTGCTTAGAAATTTCTTCTGCCAGATACTTAAAGGACTAAATCATCTCTCTCAAGTTCAAAGTTCCACAAATCTCTAGGGAAGGGGCAAAATGCCACCAGTCTCTTTGCTAAAACATAACAAGAGTCAGCCAGGCACGGTGGCTCATGCCTGTAATCCCAGCACATTGGGAGGCTGAGGCGGGCAGATCACGAGGTCAGGAGATCGAGACCATCCTGCCTAAAGTGGTGAAACCCCGTCTCTACTAAAAATACAAAAAATTAGCCGGGCGCGGTGGCGGGCGTCTGTAGTCCCAGCTACTCAGGAGGCTGAGGCAGGAGAATGGCATGAACCTGGGAGGCAGAGCTTGCAGTGAGCGGAGACAGCGCCACTGCACTCCAGCCTGGGTGACAGAGCGAGACTCCGTCTCAAAAAACAAACAAACAAACAAAAAAAAAAACCAAACATAACAAGAGTCACCTTTTCTCCAGTTCCAAACAAGTTCCTCATCTCTTTCTGAGACCTTCTCAGCCTGGACCTTATTGTTCATATCACTATCAGCATTTTTTTCAAAGACATTCAACAGATCTCTAGGAGGTTCCAAACTTTCCCACATTTTCCTGTCTTCTTCTGAGCCCTCCAACCTGTTCCAACCTCTGCCTGTTACTCAGTTCCAAAGTTGCTTGCACATTTTCGGGTAACTTTTCAGCAACATCCCACTCTATTGGTACCAATTTACTGTATTAGTCTGTTTTCATACTGCTGATAAAGACATATCTGAGACTAAGAAGAAAAAGAGATTTAATTGGACGTACACTTCTATATGGCTGGGGAGGCCTCAGAATCATGGCAGGAGGCAAAAGGCACTTCTTACATGATGGTGGCAAGAGAAAATTGAGGAAGATGCAAAAGTGAAAACCGCAGATAAAACCATCAGATCTCATGAGACTTATTCACTACCATGAGAACAGTATGGAGGAAACTGCCCCATGATTCAAATTATCTCCCACCAGGTCCCTTCCACAACATGTGGGAATTATGGGAGTACAATTCAAGATGAGATTTGGGTGGGGACACAGAGCCAAACCATATCGGTTGGTATTACCCATAAATAGAACTCAGATGCTGGTAACCATTTTTTTTTTAACAAATAATGTTTCCTTCATGATTGACACTTGCATATGAAACAAAACATAATCCCAAGGGACACTATCTAGCTCCATCAAGCAAAAAGTGATTCACGTAAACAACATTACCTTACTGGTGAGGAGGTGGTTTTATTCATTTTTGTTCATGAATAAATTAGCTCCTTAAAAAATTCATAGGAGAAAAATACTGTGTGAATTTGTTTTCACTTTTGTGGAGGTTATCTGTATATCAAGATGAGGGTATTATGTAATTTTAATGAATGAAATGTCACAATATATTCTTTGGTTTCATAACAAGATTAAAATTGATTCTGAACATAATATGGAGCTTCCTCTGAAAGGCAAATCAAAAGCCCTTTTGGCTTCATGAAGGCGTTGTCATAGAACAGACCTACTTAGAACACAAGTTTAGAGTCTGCTATGTCTTGTTTCAAATCTCACTTCCACTACTATAATTGCTGTGTGACCTTGGACAAGTTACTCAACTTCCCCAAATCTCAGTTTTCCTAAATTATACTCTCAAAATATTTTCATGATATTTAAATTATGTAAATGCATGTAGGGCAATATTTTGTCTGGCATATAGCACTTAATACAATTTTCATCATTACACTCATTATGATACAGGGTAAAAGAATTTCTATTCAGAAACTTTTGAGGGAGAAATAAAAGAGAAAAATCTAAAATATAAAGTATTCAGTAAATATCAGTTGGGTGGGCTTCTTTTTGCAATTATTCAGTTATCTATTTAGTTATATAATCACATAGGTGAACTAGAATTCAGTTTCCTTTTGGAAAACAATGGAGACGTTCATCTTTCTACTATTATGAGAGGAAGGATTCATTCAAGTCACTCTTTCTCTATACCTCTGTCCCTGATACCCAGTATTGAAGGGAGAGTTATTTGGGTGGTTCATATCAAAGGGGATAGGTACCAGTTCACCTAGAAACAATATGGTTTTGCATCATAGTAACCTTGATTGACTTTCTACAGTGATCCAAACAACCAGATAATGATTAGTCTGCCATGCAGCAAATGTTCTCTTCTGGTCTTCCTCTTACATTACTTGCCACTTCACAATTTTCACTAAATCGTTCTTATCATTGATATGTGGTATTTCTCAAAATTTTTAAACATCTTTTTTCTTTTGTTCAACATTTTCTGTGGATGATCTCACCCTCTCCTGTGGTGTCAAATATCACCCATGAACTGTTAATTACCAAACTTCTGTAGTGAGCCACTTGCCTCTAGATCATTCCACCTAGTTATGGAAATCAATTGAATGTGAGCTACAGGGGTTTATCTATATTGTTTAACACTATGCCCAGTGTTTATCACAATGCCAAGTGCTATGGACTGAATGTTTGTGTTCCCACAGAATTTATATGTTGAAACTTAACTGCCAGTGTGCAGATATTTGGGAGTTAAGCCTTTGGGAGGTGATAAGGTCATGAGGGTGGAGTTCTAAATAGGACTACTGCTTCTATAAAGGAGGCCCCGGAGAGCTCACTTTCCTCTTCTGCCATGTGAAGACATGCAAAAAGACAGCCATATGAGAATTAGGAAGAGAGTCCTCACCAGATATTAAATCTGCCTACGCTTTGATTTTGCACTGCCCAGCCTCCAGAACTGTTAAATAAATTGTTGTTGCTTATAAGCCTCCCAGTCTATGATATTATAACAGCCCAAACTGAAAAAGACAGAAAATGGGTACCAAGAGTGAGGTGCTGGTATAAAAAGTACCTAAACATGTGGAAGCCATGTTAGGACTTGGTAGTGGGTTGAGGCTAAAAGATTTTGAGGTGCATGCTAGAAAAAGCTTACGTGGCCATGAGCAGACTGTTGAAGGCAATTCTGGTGAGGCCTCAGGAAGAAAACAGAAGAGATATAGAGAAAGCCTGAGTTCTCTAAGTGGATACCTAAGTAATCCTGAATAGACTGTTGGTATGGTATCATGATGAAATCATAGACAGAAATGAGGAACATGTTCTTGAACATGCAGGAAAGGCCATTCTTGTTATAAAGTGGGGAAGAATTTTATAACAAAACTTTAAGAGTGCTAAAATTGGATATTTGGCTGAGGAAATATCTAAGCAAAGTGCAGAAAGAAAAGTCTGATTTCTCTTGACTGATTATAGCAATATTTGGGAAGAGAGAAATGATTTAAAGGTGGAATTGTAAATCAAAAGGGAAGAAGGACTTAAAGAATTGGAAAATTATTAGCCTGCCAATACTGAAAAGAATGAGAAACTGCTCGGGAGACAATGCTAAGGGTGTGGTCAAGTGACTGTGTGATAAGATTAGTAAGGATGGGCCATCTCAACAGAAACCAGGTGCTATTCATTAAGAAAATAAAGACACTGGTCAGCTATTTGTATAGAGCTAGGAGCTATTATTGTTCACCGCAATGGAAAAATGACCCCCTCTCGCCTCTCCCAAGGTGATTCAGGTGTCATCAGGGTTGCCACTTCCATCACAGGCTCAGAGAGCAAGGGTCCCAGGGTCCCAGGGACAAGGCAGTTTCAAGAGAGGGCACTAGAGCCTGTGGGACCTCAGGACTCACTGCTGGTGCTGGTGTTGCCTCACAGTGCAGGCTCCACTTCCCACACTCTAGTGCCGTGGTCCTAAAGTACCCCAAGTGTGGCTCCAGAGGGTCCTGGTCTGGAGTGCATGACAGCCATCAGAGCCATGATGAATGGCTACCTCCACTTAGATTTTAAAGGATACCAGGAAAGCCACAGGCATAGGATGCCTATGGAGTTGGGAATCAGGAAGCTAATGGCCATGGGTGCAGGATCACTGCAGAGAGCCCTAGTGAGGCTTCTGCCAACCTCAAAAAGCCCTCACTATGGAAATTCCCAGTGGAGCCATTGGGGTGGTGCCTCCAAAAGCCATGGGGACAGACCCACCCACAGCTTTGTGAGCCTAACTCTTGCCCAGCAAAGCTGAGGGGATTGGACTGCCACCCCAGTGGGTTCAGGAGGTGGGATCCCTGCCCCAATGTGCCTGGAAGACAGGACTTCTGTCCCAGTGGGCCTGGAGGCTAGAACATGGAGTTTAAGATTATTCATAAGCCTTTAGATTTAACATTGATTGCTCTGTTGGAGTTTGGGGTTACTTGGAACCTGTTGCCCCTTTCTTCTTTTTATATTTCTCTTTTGGTATGGGAATATCTATCATATGCCTGTCATGCCATTATATTTTGGAAACATGTAACTTGTTTGATTTCACAGGTTCATAGCTGGAGAAAAATTTGCCTCAAAATGACTCATATCTTGAGTTTCACCCATTTGATTTAGATGATAATTACATAAGACTTTGAACTTTAGACCTTTAAGTTGATGCTGGAATTAATTAAGACTTATGGGGTTATTGGGATGAAATGAATATATTTACATTTGAGAAGACATAAATGTTGGGGGCCCAAGGTTGATATCTTATGGAGTAAATGTTTGTATCTTACCCCAATTTATATGTTGAAAGCTAACACCCGAGGTAATGATATTTGGTTGGGCTACCGGGGATTGATTAGGTCATAAGATTGGATTCCTCATGAATGGGATTAGTGCTTCTGTGAAAGGAGCCATAGAAAGCTCTTCTACCCGTTCTGCCATTGTGAGGACACAGCAAAAAGATGGCCATCTGTGAACCAGGAAGTGGGTCTCACTAAACACTAAGTTTGCCAGTGCCTTGATCTTGGACTTTCCAGCCTCCAGAACTGTGAGATAAATACATTTATGTTATTTAAACTACTCAGATTTTGGTATTTTGTTATAGTAGCCTGATGGATTACAATATCAAGCACAAGTAGGGCTTCAGTAAGGATTGTTTAAATAAATTAAATAAAATAGTATTCAACATATGCCACTGTCTTTCCTCCAGCCTGCTCCTGGTTCTTAGTTAATGACACCTTGATTTACAAGTTGCCTAATTCAGAATCCTCAGGAACATATTCAGTTTTTTCTCTCCTCCACTTTCCGCATTCAATCCAATCAATATTACCTCTTTAAAACGTGTCAAAATGGTCCACATTATGCTTTTGTTCAGGATGCTATAAACCTACATTACTATGTTAACTCTTACCTGGTCTTCCTACTATGTCTTCTTACTATGTCTAGTTGACAATATGCTCACAGTCAACTAGAGTAATTTTTCTAAAAACAAAAGACAATGCTGAATATCACTCCCATTCTTAAAGCTCTTTAAAAGCTGTATTTGCTCCAGAAAAAAAGCTCCTCTTCATTGTGCACACACTCGCTTGAGAACTTTTCCAACCTCATTTTTCAACACCCCTTGATTCCCATTCTGTGGTTCAATCATGGTACATGGCTTCCTGTACTGAGCTTAGTTTGATCTTCACTACATTATATATACTTAGCCCTTTTCTCAGGAGGCTCTTCCTGCCAACTCCTTGCCTAACTCTTGGCCCTTGATCTGAGCTTGGACACTGTCTTCTTTAGGAAACTTATCTTAATTTCCCTTAGTCAAGACAAGCATAGATGTTGCCCCTTCTCCAGAATCCAGAACAAACACTTATGTCATTTAGCATTTACCCTGCGTTTCAGGTGCTTCTCTCCCCAGGAGACACTATAAGTATATTGCATACTGGGACTGTGTTTTATTCATTGATATATTCCCAGTGCCTTGGATGGTATCTAGAGAGTAATCAACACTTAATAAATATTTGTCGAATAAGTGTTATGTAGACATAGTGCAAAGTAGCCTTTGGTCAAAGCAATGATTACAGTATTAGCAAATCTGTGCTACTTTTTAAAATTCAGAACAGTTCACTTTGATTTATCTTGAAATGTTATGCAAGCTGTAACTAAAAACAACTGTGGTTGACACCAACTATAAAAATACCACTGGACAGACTGTGTTTTTAAAAACCAATATTGCAGTTCAAATCATTTATAGTGGTGTCCATATTAAATGCTCTCTACCTACATTCACTAAGTGTTGAAAGATTTGTTTACATTTTTCCTACAGATTTCTCCCCCAGCTGCTTCCATTATAGACTCCCTTACGTTGTCCACACTGCTGCTAAGTGCAAACAAATTAAACTGTGTCATAGAATCCGTCTGATTCCAGGAGTAAGCAGTCGTCCTATGAATCATCCATTGAATCATTCAGCATACCCAGCTATTAATCTAACGTGGCATTTAAAGGTACATGTTGAGGCTGGTTTGACCTATGGAGTGCTGCCTAAACTTTCTACACTTTAGAATGTTAAAATTTGAAGGTATTAGTGTAAGATAGTGCATGCCCCATCATTGTTTCTTCCTCAAACCTGTATGGAATAGATTCTAACTTCCTGATACTTCTTAACATGTGAAATTAGTTATTGTATCAGCTAGAATCAATTTTATTTTCAGATTCATTATTTTTCTCTTAGTCCAAGATATTATAGTGGACCAGACCCCAAGTGTGTAGTTATCAAATGTGTAAATTATTGAATATTTAAAATTCTTATACTTCAAAGATTGGTTATTAATCTTTATAAATGTATCCATCATCACATTTTATGTATTTCTTTTCCCATGAAAAATGCCAACAACAGAACTTGTTTTTACAGTACTCTGAGAAAAGCATCATGACTAACAACATGGGTGAGACCAGAAATGAGAAAGCTTGGTATTATTAACTGAAAGTGTGTTTCTCCCAGATCCAAATATTGAAGCCCTAAACTGCAATGTGACCTTATTTGGAGACAGAGCTTTTAAAAAGATAACTGAGGTTAAATAAGGTCATAATGGTAGGGTCCTAATTCAGTCTGACTGGTGTCCTTAAGAGAAAAGGAAGGGACAGGAGGGATACATGTGCACAAAGAAAAGACCATGTGAGGACACAGCAGGAAGGTGTCCATCTTCAAGCCAATGAGAGAGGCCATGGGAGAAACTAGCCCTGCTGTCACCTTGATCTTGGACTTTCAGCCTACAGAACTGTGAGAAAATACATATCTGTTGTTTAAGCCACCCAGTCTGTCATATTTTATTACAGCAGCCCCAGGAAACTAGTCCTGACTTTAACAATTACAGCTCCATGCTGATAAGGGAGACATCTAGGTCCTGAATTTCAGCCTCATTTATGAGAAGAGGGTAACTAGAAATGACACATTCATAGGTCCATTGTCAGATAAAGTCACAAATTATGGTGCTAGTCCTTTGTGGCTTTTTAAAGTGTTATATAATTATTCTCAGTTATCTTTATCATACTGATAGTTACTAAGATGAAAATGTGTATTACTCTTTCCTTAAATTCAAATACTTTTTCAGTGATATCAAATTTTACTTCATTTTAGGACACTAGTCAGAATAGAGGAAAGAGCCTGCATGTTGGAGTCTCACAAAAACAAAACCCAACTTTGCCAGATACTACCTTGCTGTCTGATAGCAAGTCACTAAACTTTTCAGAGTTTCAGTTTCTTTCTGTATAAAATAGATCTTAAAACTGCTATAGCACATGGGATCATAGGACTTGATGAGACCATTTAGGCCCTGGCACATGGTTGCATCTAACAAGAATGTGTTGGTAGAAAGCATATGTGTTCAGCAATGTCTAGGTCTCTTTTTGCCAAGCACGTGGCAAGCTCTATCTAGATATTCTTGTGTTACCACTTTTATTTCTTAGAGAACAAAATAACAGCAGCACAGCAGCTAAGAATTAATGATGACTCACCATTTGCCATGCACCATAACCATAATGCTTCAACCAGATTAATCTTCACAACTCCCCTATTATTACATTCATCATACACTTAGGAAAACTGAGGCCCAAAGTAGGGTTGAGATTGAGAGTGACCAAATATGACATGGGATATACCTTTACTAAAAAATATTCATTGTTTATTTAAAATTCAAATTTAACTTAGTATCCTATATTTTATTCTCACAGTTGTAGCCCAGAGAGATTAAGTAACTAGCTTAAAGTTACACAAGAGACAGGCTTCAAACTTGCTCACAGCCCACAAAGCCCTAAATCTTATTCTTATGTTTTACTGATTACATATGATTTTAAAGAAAGACCATTTGTCTAGGAGAGAAGATATTAAGATAGCAATCAACCTAGCTGATATTTGGAATATGTTCATAGATTGGGCTGATTGTAAATGAGGTCAAAGTAAAGGCTTCAGGAAAGCTCAGGGCTCTGACCAAGAACTTAGGAACCTAATTAGTCGGGAAAGCGGCTTTGACATCAGGAACAGAACAAAGTTTAAAAGCAAGGTTTCTTTTTTCAGAGTTGTTAAAAATATGTCTATTTTTTTTCCCTTGCATTGGAAAACATTTCCTGAATTGGAAATAATGCTGCAGCTGAAATAGCTGCAAGCAAGTTAGAAAATGGCTATTAGGCATGCTTCTTTGTAGAAGATTATACTCTATGATTGCTTTGTAAGTAAGTTCTAGTGGATTGAAGCCGGAGCTATTCCTGTATGTGGACAGGTCATTAAGTATCTAAACTTGTTCCTCCAGCCCTTACAGTGAAATAGGAGACTTCATGCTGCAAAGTAACCTAGAGATTTGTTAATTACACCAGTTAGGAGGTGTGAACAGTATTTACACCTTTCTGTTCCCCTTCCAGGCAGCAAAGAATGTAGCCACAAAGTAGGCAGAAAATCCAGTAAAAGACATTTTGTAGGAGGAAAATATTGGATTTAATTAATTAATACAATATATTTTTCCATCACATAAGAGCTATTTATTTCTTTTTAGGAGGACCAGAGGTGGCTTGACAAATATAGTCACCTCCCTGCTGAGCATATTTACATTTGAATAAATGAAAGGAATAACAGAAGAGCTAAATAAAGCTTCAAATAAATTATAAATAAAAACAATTTGTGATCGAGAAGTCCAAGCTAAAAGTGGGATTGAAAACCATCCGTAATTGATTCTTTGGATAATAGAAGATCATAGGTTCTAAAAACTAGAAACACCTAAAGTAACTATTAACTTCACCAGTAAAAGTATTGAAAAGTGTTGATACCAAGTAACTTAACTATAAATATGCTTAGAATTTTTGTGGCAGTCCCCAACTTTACAGAATGTGTTCCTAGAGTCTTTTTTCCTTAGTTGTTTAGGTTTTTGGAATGTATGTTATTATAAAAACACAATGAGAAATTATGGTGACTTCCCCAGGCTAGCCCTCGAAAGCCTCCTGGATTCTTAATGTTCTTGAACTGATACACTGACCCAAGAAAACAAAACTGTTTTGTGTTCTGACCTTAGTTCGCAGTGGGCCCATTCATATCTGCTCTTGTCCTCTTCATGTCCATTCTCTTGAAGAGCAGCTGCATTAATGTAGCTGTGGATTTTAGAATAAAATCCAAAATGCTTACATTAATTTAGGAAGACCCTACGATCTAGCTCCTCCTCACTCTGCAGCCTCACCTCTTCCTCTCTCCTGTTTCACTTCTTTATCAGCCCTACTGACCCTGAAGTGGTTCATCATTAGCATCAGGTTCTTCCCTGCTCAGGCCATTTGCATTTGTTTTTCTCTCTTTGTTTCCTATCATCCTGAGGCCAGTCCTTAATGCTCTCTATAAAACTGTAATCCCTCCATTATTTTTACACTCTAAATGATTTGTTACCCTCAGAAGTCTTATCCACTTATCTCTTATCTACTTAGCACCTAACACTAATTCATCATCTTTTTCAATTAGACTGGGAACTTTGTGTAGGCCAACCCCAGGACCCTATTACCTCTGAACTCCCAAGTCCTAATATAATCTGTGCCAAGTAGTGGGTACTAAATAGATATTTTTTGGATGAATGAATGAATGAATGAATTTGTGTGTGTTCCCTGCTAACCAAAACAATAGCAGCTAAAGGAGGACACTGCATTCCCTTGGCCATGTGCCTTCCCTAGGTACTTGTGCCAGTGTTTTGAGGGGATTCCAAACATTGGAGAGCTTTAGAGTTTCTTCAAGCATAGAAGACATTTCTGAATGGGTCTCCATTTATGCTGGCTGACAGAAGGTAGGTCAGGAGTTCAGTGGTAACAGGGCTTAATTTAGTTAAAATGGAAACAGCTGAAACAATGTTCGCTGTTCAAAATTAAGTAGGGCTGGGTGCAGTGGCTCATGCCTATAGTCCCAGCACTTTGGGAGGCTGATCACTTGAGGTCAGGAGTTTGAGACCAGCCTGGACAACAAAGAGAGAACCCCCACCTCCACCTCTACAAAAATAGAAAGAATTAGCTTGGTGTAGTGGTGCATGCCTGTAGTCCTAGCTACTCAGGAGTCTGAAGTGAGAGAATCACTCAAGCCAAGGAGTTTGATGTTACAGTGAGCTATGACTGTGCCATTGCACTACAGCCTGGGTGCCAGAGCCAGACTCTGTCTCTAAAAAAGGTAATTAATTAATTTAAAATAAATTAAAAATGAACTGGGCTGGATGGAGTGTTTATATTTCAAGAGATCAGTTAGAAGTCTACTATAGAGTCCTGGTTAGGGTTGGTAGCATTTTGACTACACAGATGGCAATAGGGATTGAGAAAAGTTAACAAATTCCAGAGTTTCTTAAAAGGTTAATTCAGTAGTTCTCAAACTTTAGTAGGCTTTACAGATTGTTGGGCCCTAAAGTCAGTTTCTGTTTTAGAAAACCTAGGGTGATCCCTGAAAATCTACATTTCTAACAAGTTTCCAGATGATGCTGATGCTACTGGTCAGGAGACAATACTTTGAGAACCACTGTTTTCAGTTGTGGGATTTGTGATAGATGGAACGCTGGGAATATAGAGAACGTAGTAAAAAGAATAACTTCTAGGTTTCTATCTTGAATCACGTTTGTGTCATTTACTGGAATAGGGGGCACTGAAATGTTAGAGGAGGAATTAATGAGTCTTTGGTTTATATGTTGAATTTGAGGTTTCATTTAAGACCAGCAAGAACAAAACGTTGAAAAGGTTGATGTAGGTACACGCCTGTAATTCATAAGAGTACTCTGAAATAAAGATACTTACTTCGTGGTTTTTAATATACTGATAGTAATTAACATTGTGGATGGAGACAAGTTTGCTGAACATGAGAGAATATAAAGGGAGAAGGGGACCTAGGGCTCAGCCTGGAAACTCCAAGATTAAGTGGATGTATGGAGGAGAATTAATTTTCAGAAGGAACTAGAAAAGAGTATTGAGAAAGTATAAGGAAGCAAGAACTGAGTCTGGATCCCAGAATCCAAGGTTATAGAGTGTTTCAAAAAGTAGAGCAGGACTATAGTGCCGAGATGTTAACAGAGATATGATCTGAAATATGTCTAATTGAATTGGGTGCTCAGGCAATCATTAGGGACCATAGCCAAGGCTGTTGTGTTGTAGTGACTGAAGTGGAAGTTAGATGGAGTGGACTAAGGAACAAATGAAAGTTTGTGGAGGTATAACTTGAGAGAACAGGAATAAACAATCATTCCCCTCTAAATTCTCCTTTACAGAAGAAAAACATATTTTAAGAACTTTTCTCTTATTTTTAAATAGATAAAACATTCATGCACATGATTCAAAAGGCAAAGTGACCTAAAAATATATTCATTGAGAAGTTTTAATCTTTCTTTATTCACTCAGTTTTTGACTCACTCCTCCCAACTCCTGAAGGTAATCTCTTTTATTAGTTCCCTGCATATTTTTCGAGATTCCGTAGAAGTAATTTTTGAAGGCAAGAGTAACATCTCTCTCATGCAAGTGCCCCTGTATACATTTTTAAATGCACAGTAATACATGTGCCCATGTTTTCATGTGTATACATATGATCTTCAATATCTAAGTGATAGCTGACAGCGTCACAGCAAAGAGCAGGTTCCACTCAATTGGTGCTTGGATTTTTTATCACATCTCACTTTTATTTCATTTTCTTACATACCTATCCCCCTTACACACATGAAGAGTACTTGTTCCCAATCACACTTGGCAAACTCCCTCAGTAACTTTGTCCATTTTCTCATTTTAGGGTAACCTCAATGCCAGAATGACAATTATTCTCTTTTTATGAATGCCTGGGGCAATTTATCCTGAGATCTTACATGAGAAATCCATCTTTCTTCTGATCACCTGTGGTTTGTCTTCGGCTCCACGGTCAGTTGTATCCAGGACCTCAAATGCCATGAGGCCACTCTCTGTGTCTCTCTCTCTGTTTCTGTCTGTCCATGTCTCTCTCCATGATCACATGAAAGAGAATAAGGTCCCTGGCAGCTGGGGGCTGAAATATTCATTGAATCATGACCAAAGAGGAAACAAAAAAGATAACTTCTCTTCTTCACTATAAACGCATGCTGAAAAAGGCCTGTGATTGGGTAGACTTGGGTCATGGACTCTTCCTGCACCAATTGCTGTAACTGGGAGCTTGGGCTACCCCAACTCACCTAGCTGGCATAATCTTTCCAACTCCGTGAGTTGGAAAGTGTGGATTTGCAAGCCTTTCCAGAAATCTAAGTTTAGAGTGGAATAGATGTTTTCCAAAGGAAGAGGGTTACTGTTAACATTACCCAAATGGAGAAATGAATTCAGGGAAAAAAAAATACTAGCAGATGTCCACCTTAAACTTGTTAGCTTTTATTTCTCACAGCACCCTGTGGTAAGTGATAGCACTCACTATTTGTAGTTTTATATTTATTTCAGAGTTTGTTTAATATGTGAATTCCATATCCAGCTCTACGAGGATAGAAATTATATTTTCTTTGTTCTCATTTGTGTCTCCAGGGCCTGGCAGAGTGACCAAAAAACAGTAGGCCCTTAATCATACACATCAGATGAATGAATGAATACAACTCTCACTAATACTTTTCTTATGGATGATTTCCCTGTCCTGCTGTGGTATCTTTCCTTTTTACCTAGTTTTGTGGTACTTTTGATTCACCTAAATTGATTTGTGTTTATTACTTGGGATTTACTAAGAGTCTGACAGTCTTCTTCACAGGTCTTCAGAGGACCTAGGGCAGGGATTGACAAAGTTTTTCTGCAAGGGCAAGATATTAAATATTTTAGGCTTTGCAAGCCATGTGGTCTCAGGCTCAACTATTCAACGAAGTTGTAGCACCAAAGCAGCCATAGACAATATGTAAATGAATGAGCACAGCTGTGTTCCAAGAATATTTATTTATTATAAGGTTGGATTTGGCCTGAGGTCTATCGTTTGCTGACCCCTGACCATCAACCAATTGTTCTGTTGCTTTTCCCCTAGAACAATTCTGAATTCAGCAGTGCATATTCAGCTTAGGCATCTAATATCATGAATCTTGTTTTAGTGATGCCATTATTTTCTTCTCATAATCCTTAACAGATTGGTTTCTGATCCTTTCATTAAGTTTAGTAAAATGAGAAGTGCTATTATGTAAGATGTTCAACCAGGAGTAAAAAAGAACCAAGCATTAGTGTTTTTGACCAGTAAATGAAGAAAATAGTGTCTCTAATCTTGAGTTATATTTTCAACTAAATCATTACATTTGTACTAAATAGGAATGGTTAGCATACGTTTTAAAGAATGCAGGGTATTGTGACATAAAGTTCATCATAACTCATTTTATTTAGAAAATCAAGTTTTACATATTTTGGAATTCAAGGCTTGTTCAAGAATGCCTTAATACCTTAGGGTACAGGTTGAATTTGATTGGGGCAGGGAAAACAAAACAGTAGGACTTAACAAGAAGAAAAAGGAATAAATTAATCTTTCAGGCATTGTGCTCTAATATACCGTCAGAACAGTTCAAATGCTACGAGTGCTAGCAATAATATAGTTTCTGAGGGAGCTCGTCTTACAAGGCCATTGGTCACTTTCATTATAGAAATTTGAATCATAATATTAATATGAAGAGTTTCCACCTCTGAATATTTCACACCCTGGGGTTGTTTGTTCCAACCTGATGTAGAAAAACAGATGCCTGTGGTACATGATCATAACTGTGGAGAGCTCTAATCATAGATATTAAAATAGATTGATGTATGAGTAAATACCTGGAGCCATCCTAGGTATCCTTACTAACTTCAATAGATACTACTGAGTAAGGGAGACACACTGGCATTACAGATAGTCCAGAAAGAAAGAGCATCCTTGAATTATTCTTGGATTGTGTTTTGTTTTCCTTTTTTGACTCAGTAGCTTATTTAGACACAAGTCATTGCTTGATCAAAACTTGTGGAAAAGAAAGAAAAGTACTTAATATTTAATTTTTCTTTACCTTTTAAAATGTTTAAATTGATAAAATTTTAAATAGTAGAGAGGCATTACAGGCCACTCCCTTTACACTCTATTCTAAGGCAGGAATTTTTGTGCATTCTTCACATATGATGTCTACCTTCTGCTTGCAAAATGCTAGGCAGAGAACTCCTTCTGTAACAATGCCCATTTTGGACTTTTCTCGTTGTTAAAAATTTCTTTTGTTCTTACCCCAAATTTACTCATCTATAGGGTCCCCCTGTTTTTTTTTACCCCTGGATGCAACATGCAATTCCTATTTCTCTTCTACATGATAGCTCGTAAATTAATTGAAGAGATATACATATACTGTCTATGCTTTCAGGTAAAATGGTTCCATTTACTCCCTTGGTCTTTAAATTAGGTAGTCTGCAGTTCTCTCATCCACCAAGATCTGCACAAGGTATGCTCTTCTTTCATCAATGTTCTGTGTGAAGCTGTGACCCCAAATCTAGACTAAATACTTCTATTAGAGTCTGAATGGATACGTGGAAAACATACTGAGTGGTTTTCTCTGACCAGATATTCTTTTTATAAAGAACACTCTGTACCACTAAAATGCCATATCTTTAGGAGATAGAGGCCTATGATGATGTTATAGTTTCTAATATAATGTTTAAAGTTACTTACTTGTATGTAAATTTGTTGTATAAGAATGAATGAATTATATCCTCTAGTTCATAGCACTTTATCATCATTGGTCCATGTCAGTGCATCCATGTTTTGTCTCCATGCATTTTTAATTTTTCTGAATGGCATTGTCTGTGTATCTCCTTTCTTTTTCCCTTTTCTTTTTCTTACTCAGTACTATTTATTTTTTAAGATCTCTGTGTCTAGGTGCATATTCAGCCCATTGCTTCTAACCACTGCATAGAACTGTGGGAATGTGTATTTATGCAAATTTACCTCTCTGCTCTCCCAGTGATGGATATGCTAAGTGCCTGCAATGTTCTGTAACAGCAAATTATACTGGAATAAACTTCCTTAACCCTGTGTTAGAATTTTGGGATTGCTGGACCATGAGGTGTAAATATACTAAACTTGACTAAACAATGCCAGACTACCCCTTAGTATGGCAACAGACAAGATTCTCATGCATGAAAGCCTCTGTACCTGTATATCCTCACCAACATTTGGTGTTTTTCAGGTTTGTAATTTTTGTCAGGTTAAAGAGATAGCATGTTGATATTACACCATTGTTTTAATTTTCATGTTCTAATGGCTAATGAATGTGAATATATTTCTATGTTGTTAGTGTCCTTTTTAAGTTTCCCCTTCTGTATAATGCTTATTCATATCATTTTTATTTTTTCCTCAGTATCATTGAGGTATAATTGATAAATAAAAAATGTATTTATTTAAGGTGTACAATTTGATGTTCTGATATATGTATACATTGGAGTTCCTATCTTTTTTTGTTGGCTTGTAGGAACTCTTGAAATCTTTTGAATACTATAGTTTTTCCACATTGCAAGTATATTCCATCAGTGTATCGTATGTCTTTTTTTGTCCATTCATAATTATTTTGGATGATGATTTGTGTTTTTAAAATTTTGTTTAAAATTATCTTCTTTACCAATCTCAGTGACAACATTTTTCTTTATGTTTTCTATTAACTTGATAGATTTTAAATCCAGGGGGTCCAAATTTGTATGCAATCTTGCAAGCCAGTTTTATTTTGCTCCACAAAATGAGCCACTTCCCTTACACTATTTAAGAACAAATCATCTTTTCCATTTTGAATTAAATAATATATTAAATTTCCAGGTATACTTTCATTTATCTCAGAGTACTTTTTTGATCCATTGATCCATTTGTCTGTTCTCGTGCTAATGTATGACTTTTATTACTATGACCTAATAGTTTATCTTCATACCCAGTTGAAAAATTCTCCCTTCATTATTTTTTTTAATGTATTTGTCTTAGAGGCATCTGTGGTCTTTTATTTTTTATATAAATTGTAAGTATATTTATCAAAACATCCAGCTGGAAATGAGTGGGATTGCATTGAATTTATACATTAATTAAGGAGAATTGACATTAGTTGTCCTGTTTAAGGAAACGAGATCTCTCTCCTTTTATTCAGACCATACTTTTGTCCTTAGTTTAAATTTTTTTTGTATAGTGATTAAACACTATTTTAAATCTAATTTTAAAATAAATGTATTTAAGGCTACAATTTTAAATCTGCATTCTTTTTTTGGTTGCATTTCATAAATTTTGGCACATACTCTTTTTATCATTTAATTATAAATATTTATTTCCTTCATGATATACTATATATCCAAATAGTAATATAAACACAGTATCAAATATGTAATCATATTATTTCCAAATATATGCTACTTTACAACTCCTATTTTATTTTTAATTTTTACACTTATTGCATTAGAGTTGGAAACCATAGTTGATAAGATAATAACTTTTTGCAATTTATTGAGATTGACTTTATAGTCAAATACATGATCTATTTTTGTAAATTGTCTTCGTGGTGTCTGGTGTCTGATTCCTGTATGTGTAATATTGTGTGGGGAGTATGTGTGAGAAGACACACAGTCAGTTCCTATTATGTTCTATAAAGTCACTATGAACACTGAATTAGTGAATAGGGAACCATTTCTCCCAGGAGAATTACAGGGTTATCTTTCTGCAAGCCTCTGGTAACAATATTTTCATCAACTGATCAACACATAACTTTATTTTGTGTGTGTTTCTGTTTAAAGACAACTTATTTAGTATATGTTGTTGATTCATTGACATTGAACTCAGGCTAACAGCACTGTAACTCATGCCTCAATGACGACTATCTCCATGAAGCACAGTACAGGCTTTGTGTGCTGCCGAACACTACAAAGCACTTCAGCAGCACACTTGGAGACAATTTTAAACAGCAAAATCACCAAGAAAAAGCACAGAAGTAGCAAAATAGACTGTGAAAGGGACACTTGTTTACGCTATAAGAGCTGATACAAGAAGGCAGAGTGTGGCCTTGTTTGACCTCAACTAGGAGCATGTGCATCAGGACACTCAATTTTTTTTTACCACGCTGCACATGTCTGCAAATGACCATGAACATGCTGCTGACTTGTGAGATTATGAATAAATTTTAAGAAGTAGGCAAATTCACAAATACAGAACCCACAAATAATGAGGATTAATTGTATATAGAAATTTTGTCCATAAAAATGTATACCTTTCTCTCTCTCTCTTTGTGTGTATATATATATATATGTGTGTGTGTGACATGTATGTGTGTGTACATATTATATATATGCTTTTATAGAAAATATATATTAATATGTGTATGGCTATATATAATAGTTTGTGTTCATTAATTACATTTTTCAGTCTTTCTTGGTTGGAATTTATCAACTGTGGAGGCTTGGTGGAGTTGCTAACAGGAGTTACTGCTCCAGGGTGGCTGATGAATCTCCTCATTCCAGCTGAACTTGGCAGTGTGCTGTCATCGTTCCTGACTTAAGCTGCTTGATGCTGATTTCCACTGCAATGAGGCAAAAAACGATTGTCTCATGGCAATGTGGGGGAGATGTCAGAGTGGAATGTAAACACTTTCCTCTAACCTACTCTCACATGATAGACTTCCTCTGACTTGGATCCACTTGAAGTTGCAGCATCTACCTCACCCTACACACAAGTTAAGCCTCTTCAGGAATCAATCTGTTTCTCTTTCCCCCTCTGTCTCCTGGCCCTGGGAATTATGATTCCCTCTTACATGTATAATTTCTCCAGGCTGTTTTTTGGAGAGGTTTGGAGCTGGACAGGGGGAGTGCACAGAATATGTTCATATACATTAATGTTCATAAATTAAGTAAGTAAATAAGTAAAGTCCTCAAGGTAGATTGTTGCATTTAACTGTGGAGGTTTCTAGGTGTGTGCTAAGGGCTTGGCAGCAGTGATTAAAGGGAGACCTGTAGCTAGCCACTATTACTGAAAAATGATCATCACTTTAGTAACCAATTGAGGAGCCAGTAATGACAAGGAGGGAAGAAGAAATAAGCTGGACAGCTAGGTATAGTCTGAGAGCAGAATCAGAACCATGTAGAGGGCGGCATCATAAACTCCTTCATGATCACAAGCATCAACTGGGATCGCTCTTGGGGTTGTGGGTTGGGGAGAACTACATTTTGTCAGAGCTTACTTCCAATCCTCTGAAATATCTGTGCCTATAGCTTTCCTTACCATTTTACTTCTTCAATTACTCAAAATGCTGATGTTGTTATTGTTGAATCTTTTTTTTTTTTTCTGGTATTGATGACACTGCTTATTCCTCTAGTCCAATCTAACTCAGCCTGATTCTTCCAAGATTATGTGGTTTGAGCCATTAGATTATCCTAAGAGGACAGAGACCCATGTCAGAGAATCCTAGTACTAACCTGGACTGGTTAATTTCTATATAATGTTGCTATTGTTTACCAGAATGTTTTTACCCACTACATGAGCAATATAATCTCTTTCACTGAAAACAAACACAAATTCATCTGCTGGTAATGCCATTTTTTTAGCCTATTTTTCCCTCAAGATAGCTGCCGGCAAATGTAACTATTTTTTATTACTTGGATCAAGTAAAAATTTGTATAAGTTATTACAATACCAACTTATCAATAGTACAATATTTTTCTTTAGTTAGATTTGTTTTTCTCTTAAAAATACAGCCTTCACTTAGCATAATTCAAATGTGCACATGGAACAAGAACTTCTGACTGTTTTTAGCAATTTTATTAGAGTTGTCCCCCAAAATATATAGTGCTAGACAAACTACTACTGTTTTGAAGAGCTTTTTGTCTCTACAATGACAAGAACTTTGAAGAATTAATTTAAGAATCTTCAAAAACAGCAGTAGCAATTGCACTACTTGAAACTTGGATTCAATTCCAGTTAGGTTCAATTTTAACTCTTCCTGCAACACTGAAAATCTGCATCCCATCTACCACCTTTTGCGTGACTTAATGAAACATAAATCCTCTGAGGGTGGGATGGTCAGATTGTATGAGCAGAATCATCTTTTCACATGCATCTTTAACTGCAAAACGAAAGGACATTGTAATCTAAATATTGTCTTTAAAAATTTACCAATTTGTTGCAACCACAAATTTAGGTGGCAGTAGAACGATTTGAGCTACTCTACAAGGATAAAAGCAACCTGAACATGGAGCAGTTATTCTGTGAAATATTTTGGATGGAATCATTTGAACGAAGGGTCTTTTTATTTTTTATTTTTCCAAAACAATGTCTCAAATTCCTGCAACTTATATTTTCTCAAGTACTGCTTGCTCCATTATTGAGCCATTTCTAATGCCTGTATGAAAAAAAAGTTTACTTTACTTTTGTAGCCAAAAAAACTGCTTTTCATCTGTGCGGCAAGTTGGGCTTTTGTATTTATTTTTCAGGGCAAGAAATCATGATAATTTAAATTCTGAATCATGGAATTGGACTTAAAAAACAATTGAGTTTTGGAGCTTCTAGCAGTAGAATCAACTGGGAGGACCCAATTTCATCCAATTTGTAGCTTGATTTCATCCAGCAAGACATACTTAAGCATAAAGACCTAAAAGTGGTAGGTGTTGTATTGAAATAGCATCACACTTAGGGTGCAATGAGGCATAAAGTAATGCTGAATGCTTTACATTCACTAACACGACATTATTCCAGCATGACACACAATCCAAAGCTTTTGCAATTACAGCTGTGACCCCGAATTAGATTTTAAAACATGTATATATGTATATGCATTTTGAAATTTTCCCTTCATTTTGTCTGCTAATAGTTTAGAAATGCAAATGCTGGTAGCTTCTTAAAATAACTCTGTTCACACAGAATACCATCCTTCCCCTCAGTTGACTTTTCTTTGGACAAAGTCTGATCTTCTTGGGGATGGGTAGGACTGAAGCTTGGGTTTTAGGAAATGGAGCTTAGGGGCTGAGGCCCTGCTTCTGTTCTAGTGAAGCTCCACCGCTTACCTGAAATAATTAAATTGCTTTCTTATTGTTTATTTTTCTTTCATATGTACATGAATAAAAAGCACGACTCAATAAGGTTTTAAAGTTAACAGTGACAGTGACAGGGGGGCTGCTACATGTTCCCTCTTTGTCTCCTGTGTCAGGATTAAGTCACCTCCAGGCTGTAATTCCGAGTGTCATGAGCTCAGAGTGGCACCTGAACATTGTCTCTGGGCTTGTGGAAATATTTCTTTTCCCTCAGAAGGTGCTTTACATCACTGGAGGCCTCAGACAAGGGAAAACCTTTCCATTTCCATTTGCTGCATCCCCACAGTACTGGGCCACAAAAGGCTTGGATTGACATGCATATCGTAGAAATATGCCCGATGCGTGAGCATTTCATCTGTGCCTTATGTCCCACAGCTTCCTGCCTCCCTTAGAAGATTATATAATCACTTATCTTTTCTATTTTTAAAGCAGATTAATTTGATTTAGTAGAAAGGGGACAAGGGAGAAAAGAAAGGAATAATGGGAAAAAGCCAATATTATTTCATTCAAAGCAGTTTGGTTTAGAGTCATTTTAATAGGTCTGGAAAATTAGAATTGGAAAAAGAAAATCAGTTGTGATGCTATATTCTAGTTTGGAAGGGAGCATAAATCCACACTGGCACAGACTTCCTAGTGCTAGATAATTAGGACTGCTTTGTTCTCATGTGGGAGAAGCAGGGGACTCATCAGTTTCTTAAATCTATTATTATTAACAATGTCGTGAATACCAAGAATTCTCTTAGGAATACAAGACGCTCACAGGATGCATCCATCATGTGAGTAAAGGGTAAGCAGCAGGTCTACCTCTTGTGGTTGTAGCAAAGGCCTCTGTCCTAGCAATGCACAGCCACATTGGTTTTTGCCCATCCCCCTCCCATAGGCTAAACACCAGATAAACTCCCTTTATCATCTTTCTTCATAAATATTTCTGAAAATTTTATCCTCAAACGTTCTGAAATAGTAACATAATGGCAATCTATAGCTTGGGTTTTTATGCAATCTAAAGCTATAGGAAACTTTTGATTTTTAATAGTTTCTTTTTTGTTTCTTTTGTCTATTTTACTTCGTTAATATCAAACAAAAACTAAGGTTGAGTGGCTGAGAATATGAAAAAAATAAATTTATGGAGGGTAGGGAATATTTAAGTGGTCAAGGTGGAAGGAAAATTCTAGGATAACTAAAAAGACAGAAAAAAAGACTAGACCAGTATGTTGGGAAAAATTACATTCTAATACACTAGGAAGCTGGTCAAAGTGATTTTGAAAACAAAATGAGGGAAAGAGTTCTGGAATCATAGGAGTAAATGAAGGGATAGTAGAATGGCCCTCTAGAAATTAACAGAAAGGGAAATGGAGAGAAACACATATAATTTCTAGAAAGATATAACTTTTAGTAAGGCAAGTACTTGATTATCAAAGAGGAAAAGAGAGATTGCATAAAATACTGTGGGAAGCTGAAGATTAAAGTTTGGAAAATGTCAAAGAAAAATTGCACTGGACAGAGTTTAATAGGAAGGATGACTTTATTGAAAACTATTGCAATAGATGTCAAGACTATTTAAGAAACCGAGAAGTACTGGAAGATGTTGAGGGAGGGTGGTCATTGTGATTAGGTCATCTGTGTGTTGCTTATGAAGTTAGCCTCCTACCCTCCTACAGAGACTGAGAGATAGGGGCACTATCTTGATGATTATATTTCAGTGATGGCTCCCAGTGAATGTCCTTGAGAAAGACATTCGTGGGTTATAAAACTGGCAAGAGGCAGGGAGAAGATTTATACCTAAAAAGGGGCAAAGAAATAATTTACAATTGCGAATTTTCTAAGGAAAAAGAGGTCGGGGCCTATAGTCAACTGCATAAGGTCTAGTCAAGCTGAGGGACCTTTAAAGCTACTGTCTTGGTCAAAAAATACCAAAATTGCCAGTGCAATGGCTCAAGATTCTAATCCTGGCATTTTGGGAAGCCGAGATGGGAGAATCGATTGAGCCCTGGAGCCTGAGGCCAGCTTGGGCAACATGGAAATTCCTCATCTCCACAAAAACTAAAAAAAAAAAAAAAAAAAAAAAAAAAAAAAATTAGCTGGTAATGTAGGTGCATGCTTGTAGTCCCAGCTACTTGGGAGGCTGATCTGGGAGGATCACTTGAGCCCAGGAGGTCGAGGCTGTAATGAGCCATGATTGCACCACTGCACTCCAGCCTAGTGACAGTGAGACCCTGTCTCAAAAAGGTAAAAAAAAACAAAGCAAAAAACTAAAAACAGAACACCAAAAACACCAACATTTTGACTATAGGGGGATTTTCAGACCTAATTTTTCTTACATAAAATGGAAATGTATAAAACTACTCGATAAAATTGTTCTATGATTTTAAAAAACTTACATGCATAGGACACTTAGAACACTACCTGGAATATAAGAAATGCTGACTAAAAGTTAGTCATTTTTTGTTATTATTATTTCTAGTAATTATGTGAGGGGGAAGATAAAGGACATTAAGATTTAGAGATCCAACTCAATTAAATGTATCATTTGTGAATAATCTTTAAAAACAAGGTAGAAATAAACAGTCAATAAAAACTTTATTAAGATGGTTCATTAGTTGGGAGGAATTTTGAATTACAGACAGCATAATGCACTACAGCCAATGTCTACTCCCCACCCCTAATTTTTACATTTATGAATATTTACTGCTTGCATATAGATACAAAGGCATAAACAAACAAAGCTTAATACCTGTTTTCAACTAATTCTAAGGGAAATAAAGATAGAGGACAATTACAATCCAATGTTGTAAAGGCAATGATATAAATATACACAAAGTATTATTCTAATAATCAATGGTGAATTCATTGGCTTTGAAATTTCCTGGATGATGGCTCTACTCTAGTTGATAGAAGAGTTGTATAGGAGAGAACCATAGTGTTCCTGAGCAATCCGTAGAAGCTCGAATGCTAGATTCGGTCTTGGATCCCCTGGGTCCAGCTTGGAATGCTATTTCAGGTCCCAACATTTGGCAAATGGCCTCTTCATCCCTACAGGAATCATGGTTGGGTTTTACCAGGGGAATTATTAGAAGGGAAGAAATAGCCCCTTAGTTTGGTGCAGTGTTCCTCAATATTCCAATAAAATTGAAAAAAAGAAGATACATTTTATATTGCTACAGTGGAAGCAACTCACAGAGACTCACAACACAAACCTTCTGGACATTAAAATGGTGGAAAATCTGACAGAATGAGAGAAACCAGGAAAGAGAGTCAAAAGTGGATACTCCCTGTCTCAGTGGTAACACTAATAAATATTCCCTCTGACCAAGCCAATTTCCTAGGACTGGCACTGAAAACATTTCCTGAATGAAAGCCACATCTTTTCCTTCTGATTTCATGGTAATAAGAACAAGGGGATCCACTGACTGTTCATCCTTTTTGTTATATTTTTGAATGAAGGCAAGTGTGGACATCCTCTTAACTATATTTGGAATAGCCTCTTAACTTCTCTCTTGAGCTACAGAAGGAAAAATGATGCTCACTAGGGAAACACATTCCTATGGCTATTTATCTGACACAACTTAATGGTGAAAAGACACGAATTTCCCTGCCCTCAGTGTCTCTGAGCATTTGCAACTGACACACATGAAGGGAAAACCCAGAAATGCTACATTATCCAAAAAGAGGTAAAGAAGAGGCCATATTGGTCAAAGATCATGCACAGGAACCAAAAGATCAGTATCCTGTACCCCTAACTCCATGCTTCATCTAAGCAAGTTTGGAGCCACTCGATACTTAGCCAAAGCTATGTAAGTAACAGTGGCCATGCTAACTCATTGATTCCTACCAAGGCCACTGTCCATCCTAATTATAATAGCTCTCTAGTATTGACTGATCAGCAATTTATCACTAACACTATTATGCATCTCTATACAATTATAGCAAGTGGAGATGGATTAGCCATACTTTATTATCTGCATAGGGTCACAGTGGGTGTTTTTGCAGACTTTTGGTCAGAATCTGCTTTAACAAAGGAACTTGGCCTTGAATCTTTCTCTTCTGGAAACAATTTAGACTCTTTCCCAGATCAGAGAACTCAGATTAAATGTCAAAAGCCTTTCATTTAACTAGCCTTTGTATGATTTTGGCTTCATTCACCTATCTAAGCCATCCAAAGAAAAACAAAATGGCTTGGAGAATGGAAAGGCAAAAGAACCTAGGTGAATGATCTAGTTTTCTGAAATCTGCAAGTCTCTGAAGTTTATGCTCCAGCTTTAATTTTGGCTAACAAATGCTCCTTCTACATCCAAACTAGCACTGCCAAATAATTAATTGTAAAATATTGAACAAAACTTCAGCCATAAAAAGAGGCTTTAAAGAATATCTTTGAGAAGAAATAAAGGGGAGGCTTTGCCTTACCTTTGCCAGAATATTTAAGTTTTGAATTTTTCTTATATCAAAAGCCAAACCTGCAAGCTTACTCTAATGCACCAACATTTGATGCACTGTGAAAGGGTACTTACGTGTGGAAAATTCCCATTTCAAGGACCTGGGTAACATTGGATTCACAGATCCATGAGCTTGAGGCTGTACACTCCAGGATAAAGTTTTCTTGTCCCACTTCTCCTTATTCTTTTAGTGTATGCTGGTCTACATGAGCTTGTGTACACACGGATGCGTGTGCATGCACACACATATGCACACACTGCAGAGCTAATCTGGACTTAGGAATGCAGAAGACAAAAGTGTAGACATGGCCAAACAAGACTAGAGAACACATCACAGTTTGCTCCAAGATGTGTTTTTGATCCTTTGCTTTTCATTGGAGTAGCCAGAAATCCCCCCAAATTCATGTTAACATTGAAGCAGATAAAGAAGCAAAACAGGAGTGGGGTCCAAAGCAGATGCTCTTTTTTAGGCCAGGGGAATGTGACTGCCTGGAGTGTTGTAGGTAATCAAGCTGGTTCATTTGGTATGCCCTGAAAATTGAAGTTTTGTTAAATTCAAATGGATTCTAGTTATCTCTTTGATTTCTTTATTTCCTTAAACATAGGTGTTCTTTGCTTATTCTTGTCAGTGTGTAGAATATTTTCCAGAAACATACTGTAGATGTCTTTAAATCAATATGTGATAGATGACATGATACATTTTATCTTTCACATTTGGAACAAATAATAGTATCTATAGTTCTGTTCAGAGCTTTTTTGTAAAGATAGTATTGTGGTATACAAAGGCAAATTATACCTCAAATATTTGTTTAAAGGTAAAAGTTACTTTATGCAATCGGATGATCAGTTTGGACTAGTTGCCATAGTACACTTAATATTGACTAGGCATCATTCACTGAAAGATTAATCTTCTAGCCCATTTTCATATACAGTTTACAATTCAAATAGTTATAGTTTGATCACTAATGTAAGCCATTATTTCTTTTTTATGGCAAATAGAGAGCGATGTTTCTATTTTAACATGTATAAATAGTGGATTTTAACATGGTAAGAAGAAAATGAATACAAAAGAATAAATGTTTCAAATGATGGAGACTGTAAATAGTGATTTATCTCTCATAAACTAAACAGAAATTTCATGGTGCAGAGACTGCTACACAAGCCAAAATTAAATATAACAACTCATATAATAGTAGCCTTATAATTTTTTCTCTGGAATAATGAAGGAAGTTTTCTGCCTTTTGCTATGAGTCACAGCAACTTCAGAAACTGTCTAAAGTAACATAAGCAGTGGGAGCAAATGTCCACAAAATAAGTTATGTTTGGGAATAATAATAATAATATAATAAACACACATTCTACCTCCCTTAAATGAAGACTCATTGAAATCAAATACACAATTATTTTAACAAGCTTCCATGCACACACACACAAAATCATTAATAGTCACAGGAAGGGCTAATATTGATGATAAGATTGCATTTATCTTTGTTATTTTTCAACACTTTCACTAGTGTAGGATGCTTAGGCAAGAACAATTTCAATGTAAAAGAGGTCGTGATATGTTGATGATGCAAACAGGATGATTTAGACTATTGTAAAGCACCTACCACTACTTTTCAAGTTCGTTGGTGTAACACATGTGAGATTTGCTGGCATTGATACTCCCAACATTTCCATCTGCCTTCCAAACAGTAGCAAAACAGTTTTTTTTTTCCTCCAATAAATAACTTCTCTTCTCATATGAATAATCTGAGCAAACAAGGTTTGGAACAAAGAACATACTTATTAACAAAAGGAAAAAAAGAGCAAGTATGTTCACTGAATGTTGTTTATCTTTAGCTGTATGCTCACAATGATAGTACTAGGATGTTTGCAATTGTTGCTTTACTTCACAGGATAATTTTCTATGTATAATAATGAATCATTTGTATTTATGAAAAGTCAATTTAAATTCTCATTATGTGTTTTGGGTTAAATGACGTTTTACTGACAAGGATGCATGTTCATAATCATTCCAGTGCAACGACATTTTTTGTTGAACTTTGATGAGGGACTACATAAAATGTCTTTATCATCGAGCAGTTAGTCAGACTACTAACCAGCTAGTGGATTAATTGGTTGTAGTGTAATGAAATAACAGGTTCACTATGAAATTAAAATATAGCTATTTTGAAATTGTTCCCAGATCGGGAGAATATGAGGCTAATTGATGGCTATATCCATTTTCTAGGGCTGCCGTAACAAAATGTCACATGCTGGGTAGCTCAAACAACAGAAATGTATAGTCTTCCAGTTCTGGAGGATAGAGATCCAAGATTAGGATGTTAACAATTTGGTTTCTTCTGAGGGCTCTCTCTTTGGCATACACATGGCTGCCTTCTAGATGTGTCCTCACATGGTCTGTCCTCTGTCTGTATGAGTGCTTGTGTCCTAATCTCCCCTTCCTGTACAGATATCAGTCAGACGGCATTAAGGCTAACCTTAATGACATCATTTTAACTTAATTACCTCTTTAAAGGCCCTGTCTCCAAATACAGTCACATTCTGAGGTGGTGGGAATTAGAACTTCAACATGAGAATTTTGTGAGGACACAATCCAGTCTCTTATGATTAATTCCTTTTGCTAACTCTTATGGACTGAATGTTTATACATCCTCAAAATTCATATGTTGAAATCCTAACCCCCAATGTGATGGTATTAGGAAGTGCAGCCTTTGGGAGATAATAAAGTCATGAGAGTGAAGTCCGCATGGGCAGGATTTGTACCTTTATAAGAAGAGAAAGAAGAGAGCTTGCACTCTCTCTCTCTCTGTTTTCTGACATGTGAGGTTACAATAAGAAGATATCTATAAACCAGGCAAAGAAAGGCCCTTTACTAAGAATTAGACCATGCTGGTACCCTAATCTCAGACTTCCAGCCTCTAGAACAATGATAAATAAATGTATGGTGTTGTTCAAGCCATCTAGTCTATGGTAATTTTTATAGCAGCCTGAGCTAAGAACAAGCATAACTCTTGACTTCATGTTTCGTTGTTGATAATATAGACTTCATTTTCATATAAATTCATTAATATTAGCATTGTAGTAAATAATAAATAAAAAACAATTAGTAGGAAGATGAAAAGAACATTTATTCTACAACTGGGTAAGTTAGACTTTGACATTTTTACCAAAATTTTTGGAATTCCCACAATCATCTGTTTACCTGATTTCTTGTAAAAAATATTTACTGTAAAATTAAACTGACTTAAGTTAATTTTCTTTCCTTTTCAGATTCTCTTCTACATTTCCTAACAGTACTCTTGGGAAGATGAAAGGGCCTCTGGAGATTCTTTAAAAAAGGATTAGAAATGACTATTTGATAGCATTGAATTACACTTTGAATGAGACTGAAATTTCCTTCATTCCTGAAAACAAAAAATGCATATTGGAAGTATCATTTGTAGAATGATATATCTGGAAAATTCCAGAGCATAGCTATACCATCTATGCTATTTATGAGACTTGTAAAAACGAACTAGTAGCTATCTTTTGTGAAATTGTAATATGTTCACTAATACAATTCTGCTCATCTTTAACAATTGCCAAAGACTTCCCCAACTTCCCAAGCTTTCATCCATTACTGAAACACATCAAGTCAAGGGTAAAATCTGGCATCTATTTAATAACACATAGCAATTCATGCCTATCCCAGTCAGGAAGTGAAATTGATATAAATACAAACATACATATTATGCCATGTGAAATTTCATCTAGTACAAATAGTAGCTTATAGCCGAAATGAAAATATTGTTCATTTCAGACTGCATGCTATTGAAACAGAGGACAAGCTATAGATTGAGTCAAAGGAGTTAGGTAAAGTAAACTACAGAGTTTGAACACTGCAAGAATTATTTTATACCTTTTGAAAAAGACTTCCTATGTTTTTTTGTATCCTAGATCAAGCAGAAGAATTTTGTTTCAACTGCTGCTATTCCACAAACAGTGACATTTTGTACTTCTAATTAAGAGGACAAAATGTCATTCTTAAGTTAAATAATTGACTGCTGCCCTTTTTAGGAGCATTGTCTATTTTTCAATCCACTAAAACACATATTTGGTATGATTATTACATCTGGGATGGGTGGTGCAGAGTAGCAGATAATGGCTTTAGGATAAGAGTCTAACTTTCATCAAGATAGGATTTTTTCAGACCCATTGAAAATGTGTATTTGTTTGCATTAGCTTTGTTTTCTTTTATCCCAGGAGAAATTCTTTGATGTTTAGACACTCAAAGTTAAGAAAACATGAGAGAGATGAAAGTTATCTGAGAAAATAACAGGAGAAAAAAGAAATACAGTCTCTTGGAACTAAAAGTATATAAGGAACACTTCCTCTGGGATGAGAGAAGGTAAGGGTCCATCTCTTGCCTCTACTAGCTGCTATTTCTACCTGTTTCCATTGGTAAAGGAGGTTGTGATGGTTAATACTGAGTGTCAGCTTGATTGGATTGAAAGATGCAAAGTATTGCTCCTGAGTGTGTCTGTGAGGGTGTTGCCAAAAGAGATTAATTAACATTTGAATCAGTGGACTCGGAGAGGCAAACCTACTCTCAATCTGGGTGGGCATCATCTAATCAGCTGCCAGCATAAAAGCAGGCATGGAAAGAGCAGACTGGCTGAGTCTTCTGTCCTCCATCTTTCTCCCATGCTGGATGTTTCCTGCCCTCGAACATCAGACTCTAAGTTCTACAGCTTTTGGACTCTTGGACTTACACCAGTGATCTGCTAGTGGCTCTTGGGCCTTCGGCCACAGACTGAAGGCTGTATTATTGGCTTTCCTACTTTTGAGGTTTTGGGATTCGGACTGGCTTCCTGGCTCCTCAGCTTGCAGACAGCCTATTGTGGGACTTCAACTTGTGATCCTGTGAATCAATTCTCTGAATAAACTCCTCCATATATTCATCCATCCTATTAGTTCTATCCCTTTAGAGAACCCTGACTAATGCAGAGGTCATTTCAGTGTTTCAACAAGCAGAACTTTACCACTCAGGAGAAAGACGCTTGAATGCATAATGGATTCCTGGAGATATTCAGTGATCACTGAGGTGTGATTCCTCTTGGGCAAGCTAACACATAAAGGCCTAGGAGGAAAACAATTGGCTTATCAGCAGTTCGTTTTCAAAGCTATAAATCAAGAGCATATGCTGGTCATACCACGAAATTTAGTGACTTAGTAATTGTCTTGTCGTAATTGCCACCCAAACTCTCCTCATCAAAAGAATGAGAACAAATACTTTTATTTAAAAATTTTGTTCAGGGCAAATATTTCATGGTAATTAAATGGCCATTTTTTTCTGTGCAAAAATGGCAAAATGTTGTGGTTTTAACCAAGTATCTGGTAAATCCTATAAAGGGTGGTCATATATTTGGATGATTAAATGTAGCAGGTATTCAATAAATTGTGTTGAACAGATGAACAATTCAAGTTTTTACTTTTCTCCTGTAGCAGTTTCTTACTCTTTAAAGCTGAATTTTATAGATATTTAACTAAACCTATTTTTACTATTTCATGTAAACAAGTATCATATGTATATTAAGCTTAGGTGCTGGTATTTAATAGGACTAAATCTAAGAGGCAGTGTAAGAACATGAGTTTTGTAATCATAGTGACTGATTTGAAACTCAGCTCTACAACCTTCTAGTTCAACAACATTTCAGTGTTTCAGATTTTCCACAGGTGTATAATAGCAAACAATAACAATATCTGCCTCAAAAATATGGAAGGAATAAAGCCACAAATATATGCAATGCAATTAGAATGTTGCCTGGCACACTGAAAATGTTAGCTTTTACTAGTACCCAAGTAGCCTGAAGCTGAACTCTTCTCTTGTACTTAGACCTATCATCCCTACTCTTGACTAGATGATTTCTTGGATGCATCTGAGGGAATTTTAGGTCTTCACTCTAAAAGAGAGATGGAGGATCAAACATGATTTTCATTTAAATAATATAAGCACAAATTAATATTACACACTGCCGGGATATACCTAATGATTAGTCCCCAGGCTGATCCATCATCAGTAGTTTGTAGCTACATTGTTCCTTACCCTAGAGTAAAGCTGAAGATACTTCTTTCTTTAACAAACTAGACATTAATTAAGCTAGGCAGGGGACTAGAAAGTATAATTGCTACTGTAAAGCATAAAGAATGTTACAAATAGCAGTGAGCTTACTAATGAGGAAATAAAAAAATACAATTCCTCTTCCTAAAAGATAAAATAGAAAAGCATCTCTTTTGAAATAAAGGTACTTAAAGTTGTATTAGAAAAAAATTAGCGAAACTCTATTCTCCATTTCCAGATATTTGATTCTTAGAACAGAAGTAACTTTAGGGCAAAATTGGATCATATTCTCAGAAGTCAGGCACAGTAACAGTCATACACTAAAGTTGGTACCTTAATTTTTCTCCAAATTACAAAGCATTGTTATTATATTTTTATGTTACCTCCTGGGTATTCTATTAGTACTGTCCCTTTGTCTAATTTTCCTCTTTTCAATATCAGTTCATTTGCCTATGCTCACATCTTTAGTATTAACCTTGACCTCTTCCTTAATTCTTACATCAAATAAGTCACAAGCCATTTCACTTTGACACTATAATAGCTCTAAATGAGCTACTTTTGTACATTTCCATATAGTATAGCATTATAGTTAAAAGCTGAGCCTTTAGAATTAAGTGACCTGTATCTAAACTTCAATTCTGTATGGGATCTTTGGTCTGTTTCTCATTTATAAAATGAAGATGAAAATATTACATACCTCAAAGAGTTCTTATCAATATTAATGTGGCAGTCCATGAAAGGGGCTTTGATACAGTGCCCACTGTGGAAGGCCTTAATAATTATGGCTATTATTATTCTTGTTGTTACCACTGGTGTTTCCATTGTCACTAGTCTAATCAGATCTCTACTGTTTCTTTTCTGGATCACAACAATAGTCTTTCCATCTTAAGTCTGTCATCACCAATTATTCTGTACCGTATTGTGAAATTAATCTGACTCCATAGTTCTTATCAGATTACTCTCTGCCCCCAAATGGCCAAATTACTTATCTTGGAACAATGTATCCTACACTCTGCCTCAACCTCTCTAACATTTTCTTATTCTACTCCTATATACTACCTAATGTCTTAATTGAAGTGCATACCATTTTCTGAACATGCTAGATACCGTCCTGCTTCTAAAAATGCTTTCTGTGGCCAGGCATGGTGGCTCATGCCAGTAATCCCAGCACTTTGGGAGGCCGAAGCAGGCAGATTACGAGGTCAGGAGTTCAAGACCAGACTGGCCAACCTACTGAAACCCTGTCTCTACTAAAAATACAAAAATTAGCTAGGCATAGTGACATGTGCCTGTAGACCCAGCTACTTGGGAGGCTGAGGCAGGAGAATCGCTTGAACCCGGTAGGCGGAGGTTGTGGTGAACCAACATCGTGCCACTGCACTCTAGCCTGGGCAACAGAGCGAGACTCCATCTTAAAAAAAAAAAAAAGAAAAAACAAATGCTGCCTTTTAACCATTGGCAATTGATAATAATAATTTGTTAATCCTTAAAGAATTAAATACTGTATCAAACAACACATCTTTCATTAGGTCTTTTTTGAGTTCCAAGTCAGAAGGAATCCATTGTTGCTTTCGTTAAATTGCTCTTCTATAATATTGTATACTTTCCTTGGGTTACTTATCTCTTTTCATTGATGTATTATATACTATAATTATGGTTGTGCTTGTCTTTTCTCCATGAGTGCACTGTAAACTTCAAAGGGGTGGGTCCTATGTCCTAAACATATTTTGATAATGTAGATCAGCATTTACTAGAATGTAGAGGGTACAAGTATAAATGCAGAGGGTAAAAGATGTTTTCAGGTGGTGCAATTTGAACTTTAAATAACATCGAGTCACAAAGTAAGAAATATATTATCTTTTAAAAATCCTATGGTACCTCAAGAAAAAGCTCACAATTGGGTGCTGTCTTTAAAACCTCCATTAAACATATAGTCTTCAGAACCTGTAGAAATCAGTGTTTTCTAACCAGTGCTTTGTCTCGTATTCATTTCATATGTTTCTAGTTAAGAAACTATGCTTACTAAATAAAAGTAGAGGTGGTTTGGAGATTTGGCAAAAGTAACTGTAGATAGGTTGGAAATGGCCAGAGGTTGTTATATTGGAACTCTATTGGAGTTTCTGCTAATAATGGGCACTGAGCAGGTTTTAGGTGATTTCTTAATTCCATATGCCTCAAAAGAGAATTGTTGCAAAAGGGTGCCACTAATTCTTATCTTTCCTTGCCAGTCAAAATGACCCACTAGTCCCCACCATCATCTTTTTTACCAGATAAAATTTTCCAGAATGGTCTTCAAGTTACCATTTACAAGCCAATTGTTTTCATTTACCCTCTTCTACACAAAAACTCTGTTATTGCTGTCTTCTAGGAGACACACATACATTTATGTTAAAATGCTCAGGATTTTCTTTAGACAATTTGCACAAACCCTGAGAAAAACCGATAAATCTTATTTTCCTTCGCAAGGAGTTGATTGTAATGAGGTTATTTAACAATCTTATTGTTAAGCAGAAAATTAGAATTGCTACCAACTGAATTGTGTCCGCCCTAAAATCCATGTGTTGAAGCTCTAACTTCCCATGTCGTAGTATTTGGAGGTGGTGGCTTTTGGAAAGTAATTAGGGTTACATGAAGTTCAAGGGGGAAATGCTCATGATGAAATTAGAGCCCTTATAAGAAGAGATACCAGAGAGCTTGCTCTCCCTCCGCCACGTGAAGATACATCCAGAAAGATGGCCATTTGCCAGCCAGGAAGATAGCCTTTGCCAGAACCCAACAATGCTGGTATGCTGATCTTGGTTTTCTAGAGCCTAGACAGTAAGAAAATTATTTTTTGTTGTTTATAACACCTAGCCTGTGGTATGTTGTTAAGAAAGCCCAAGCAGGCTAATACAGTTATATAACTTGGCACAACTGTATCAAAATGGGACTGGATGACATTCATAGATGTGTCTAGGAGCAGGGAACATCTCAGAGAATGCATTGCTGTTATGGCTCTTCTACTGCCAATGGCAGTGGTGTACCTATTAGAAATGGTGCTGGCCATCCCTGAAAGCCTGGACAGAGGAAGTTAGTCAATGGCCTGAGGACAGCAGGCTAAGAAAAATATTTTCCTGTTCCCAGAAGAAGATAATGTAGTCTCTGAAAAAAATCTTTCTGTGCAAGCACCTAAAACTACGATAGCACTTGAATGAGGTGAACATTTCTACACCTAAATATCCACAATGTTATGGAAGACCTGAGTACAAAGAAACCAGTATGAATTCATCTTCTATTTTAAGACATAAGTTGATACATCTAAGTGGATAAAGTAGTCTATTAAAAGGTGATTTGAACGTAAGTTTTGATGATTTTTCTAAATATTATTTATTTAAAAAATTTCTTTTATAAGATGAGGAATGATTGCATAACATCTTAGAATTGTCCCTGTGTTTGTCTTCATCAGTGCTTTGCCTGAGTCAGCCATGGTTCACCATGAAAACACGATGAGTCACACCTGCATCACAGTTGATCATGATCTCTAGCGACTGATGATATTAAAGCAAAGACTGGGTCCTTTGCTGATTATGTTTTCTTCCTGGCAGTTCCAGTGTCTTCTGCAGTGTCATTGAGCCCTCCACCATCCCATCACCTTTGTTTCTTTGTTAATCGTATTCTGCCAACACCTGTTTTATTTAGAAAACACAAATAAATAAACAACAGGAATTTAAAAATATGTAGTTTCAACATTGCTGTCAGTCCAGGAATTGAAAATATTTAGTCAAATGATTATACATCTTCACCAATGTCAGATCTTCAAAAATCCTAATTTTAATAAATTATTTGGATAAAGAGAGAAAACAGACTATTTATGATAAGAAATCACATTTTTTCTGCATGAATATTATCATTGAAAGCAACAGATTTTTTATGTATACATATATGTATATATACACATACATATATATACTATATATGTATATATGTATATGTATATGTATATATATGTATTTAACTAACATATGATTAGATTTTCAGCTAAAACATAATTCTGGATAATGCACTTGGGAGATATAAAGTCCAAATTTGTGTGTTAGTTCTAGACATTTTTCCCCACTAAGAAATTTGTTGGAAACTTTTCCTCTAACACTTTGAGATCATAGAATGTGATACAAGAAACTGAAATAAGAAAGTCAGATTGAAGCTGGGCACGGTGCCTCACATCTATAATCCCAGCACTTTGGAAGGCCGAGGCTGGCGGATCACCTGAGGTCAAGAGTTCGAGATCAGTCTGGCCAACATGGCAAAACCCCGTCTCTACTAAAAATAGAAAAATTAGTAGGGCGTGGTGGTGCACACCTGTAATCCCAGCAACTTGAGGTTGAGGTAGGAGACTCACTTTAACCTGAGAAGCAGCAGTTGCAGTGAGATCATGCCACTGCAGTCCAGCCCAGGTGACAGAGCAAGACTCTGCCTCAAAAATAAATAAATAAATAAATAAATAAGAATTAAAAATACAAAAATAGAAAGTCAGATTGAACTATGCTTATTTTTTTTCTTATTTTTGAGAATTAAGTAAGTCTGTTTACAAGAAAACAGACTAAGTTATTACCAAGACCCATAAACTCAGACTCCAAATGCCAATTGACAGAAAATAATGTGTGATGTTCAAAAAATGCAAATTTATTTATTTGTTTAATTTTGAGATGGAGTCTTGCTCTGTCACCCAGGCTGGAGTGTGACGGCGTGACCCTGGTTCACTGCAGCCTCCACCTCCCAGGTTCAAGGGATCCTCCCATCTCAGCCTCCTGAGCATCTCAGCCTCCTGAGTAGCTGGGACTACAAGCGCACACCACCATGCCCGGCTAATTTTTTGTATTTTTGGTAGAGACAGGTTTCACCATATCTCTCAGACTCGTCTTGAACTCCTGACCTCAAGTGATCCGCCTGCCTTGGCCTGCCAAATTGCTGGGATTACAGGCAGGAGCCATTGCACCCAGCCTGCAAATTTATTTCTGATGCAAAAAAGTTAAGTCTTTTAGGAGTCACTTGTTTGTATAAATGCATCATGTGACAGGTGCTACACCAAAGAAGACCATCTTTGGAGTCTCACAGAGTTTTGGAAGCATTTATTTGATGAGCAATGAAGTAATGTTAACCAAAGCAGAAACACTGTTTAAAGACAATCATCTCTCCTAAGATTATAAAGACAGGTTTAAATGGCATACTATGCCAGTCTGGCAGGAAAGGAATGTAGAATCTAAATTATTAATATCTTTTGTCCACAAGCAACATTTAAGAACTGATAATTGGTATATTAAGCCCTTGTTAGTTTTTCTTTTTTATATTGACAGATTCTAATTAATGGAACTATAGAAGCTTCATTTTATTCACAAAATTAATTTGGCTTAAGATTCAAGGAAATACCTGTATACCTTTACTTTTACAATGCTTAGGGTCACACATACCAACAAGATCATCCCATGTATTTTTCAATGGACAATATTATTCCACCAAACCAGGAATGGCAAAGATGTTTTGCCACAGAATATTCCCTAAGGAGTGGCTAAATTTGAAGACACTCTATCTAAATTTACATTAGTGTTTTCAAACTACAGGAAGCTTGCTAATAGTTATGTTCATTAATTGTATTCCTTTGGTTCATTAATTTTATGTTGTTGACTTCAAAACTGACACTGTACTTCCAGCCTGAAGATTGTCTTCCTTTGCAATTTTTTTTCATTATCACAACGGGTCTAAATTAGATTAAGCTACATTCATGGCATATACACAAAATTAAGTAAATAAAGTTTGTCTTTCATGAATCAACTGAAAGGATTACCAATGAAGAACAGGAACTGAAAATTCTTCTACTGGGAAATACTTTGCCCTCTTTTTAATGAGGTGAAGACCCGGAGCAATAAGACTTATGTTTGATAACAATCATATTCACATCAAATAAGATTGTGTGACTATCAAACAATCTTATAATCAAAGGATCATGTTTTATGCACCAGGAGATGAGGTTCGGGCAAGTTAGACAAATCATCAGTCAAGAGAATACTTTGCTAAAGATCGAGATCTTTTGGGCACACAGTATTATTTTCTTTGTGTCGTTTTCAAGCCTGTATCTGTCTATAGAGAAAAAAATAGATATCTCCCTCATAAGACAATGACAGAAATAGTCTGTGGATATGCATCTATGTCCAATCAGCAACAATATGCATAGTAATGTGTCGCACAGCTTGTGTAATGAAGTTCCCAGCGTGCAGTCTGGAAAGGTATCCTCCAGTGTGTAGGGTGATTTATTTCCTCTGTTGAGAGGCAGGACAGCCAGGACTTGTCCTTCCCTAGTCTACCTGCAAGAATACTCTGTCATCTTGGGAAGTGGTAATGGGTTCTGCAAGTGCTGAATAGGGCCACTGTTTTGAACCCTTCATTTAGCTGGTCTATTTCCCATCCCTTTTAATTCTCTGACTGGAGCATTAATGGGGATTTCTTTAAAATCAAAGCAATCTATAGTAGGACTACCATTTAGTACTAGTGCCTTGAAAGCAATATTTAGAATGACGAATAAAAACACTTTTGCTATGGTTAAAAAGTATAGAAAAAATGAGAAAGCAAAGCATCATATATACTTTACAACATTCTCTGTAGTAGGGGTGAGAAGAAACAAGAAGAGTGTATGCTTCCCAAAGCTGTTGAAGTCTGTTGTATTTATGGCAGCCATTATTTCCGGTGCTAAAATGTAGCTATCAACTAAACAGTTTTTCTTGGCCCTGTTTATTAGATTTTGATCTTGAATTTTAATTTCCTTTTCATCTTTTTGGATTATATGAAAGTTTATCCAACAATAGCTATTTTCTTTAAAAGACTGCATATTGTAGTCTAAGTAAAACTTTTATTTGGGGAACTTACAAGAGGAAACAATTCCTTATTTTTCAATAGATGAAAACCTTTGTGCTGAAAAGCTAATATGACGGAAAACAATTATTTTTCAAGAGAAATACAGAAATTATCTTAACATCCAAATCAAGTATTTCTGATGAAAGTTTTAAGAGGCTTCTGTCTATGGTGTCTATTTTAGGCACTTATTTGACCAAATCCATTGAAGTAGAATGTCACAGTTAAGATCTTGGGACAGCATGTATTTGGGTTTAGAATCATATGGGTCAACAGCACTACTTCTTACTAGCTGCATGACCTTCGACAAGTTGCTTGAATGTCAGATTTCTTTATCTCTTAAAATGAGAATGATAATCTCGTGGTTATTGTAATCCAAAAAGTTTTACAAAATTAAATGAATTAATTTTATCGAAGTTTTGGTACAGCAACTGGCACCTAGTGAGTATGTATTATATGCACACTGCATTCAAGAATGAAGCATGTTGATGTCACTTCTAATTTCTGTGGGACAGCAATTCTATATTTTTCCACCTGGGCCACTAGAATGGTTTGCTCTCTATCAGTTCAGATTCTAGTTCCTGAGTTCTGCATTGCTGTTATGGATGTATTTCTCTAATGTCCTTTTAGACATTTCAGATGAGTATCTTATTTTGTCTTCAACAATGACTTATAGCTTACCATGCAGTGCTTGGTAGGATATTGTTTCAGAGACCAAATCAGCTCCTCCCATTTGGACAGTGATATTGATCTAGGCATTGTCTTTGAATTATAGAGATTTTTTTCCAGTGGCCTCTTACATCTATGCTTATTAAACCATTTTAAGTGTAATGGGAGGAGGAAGAGCTGAGGGCAGTGAGCAAGATTTGTTAAAATTTCTATTGACAGGAACCACTGTTACTCTAAAATTAAAAATCTTAATATCAAGAGAAGTTTCCTTTATTCTTCAGAACCTATTCTGCCTTTCTCTCTATCCTTTCATTGAGCTCTTATTCTGGCTAGGACTTTTCACACATTTACTAAGTTAATCCCCACAATAGCCATGTGAGTGTTGATTATTAATCCTGTTTTAAGGGGAATGTCTTTTTGAGAGGTTAAGTAACTTTCCCAAGGTCCACACAGTGATTAGGGAAGAACCAAAAATTAGACTCAGTCTTGCCTCCCTCCATGCCTGTGCTCTTCATAACATAGGCTGAAAAATATTTCTATTTCTTGTCTATATTTATTTTAGTTGAAAATATTTTGAGTAATCTTTGAATTGGGCTTTCTTAAAAATGTCAATATTATTAATTAAATCTTCCAGTCATGTCTTGTCTACGTTAGTGACTTTCAGGAGAATGCAATTTCTGTGACTGAGCAAATTTAAATTTGGGTCAAATTATTCTATTTATGGTGAAGAGAGATTAAGAACCTGCATTAATAGCAAATTAAACATTGAGATTAGGATCTAGAAGGTCAGAATCAGGTTGCAAGGTCAAAAATGAGATGTAAAATATTAATCAAGCTGTCATATTAAAATAAGGAACCTGATAGGATAGGGCAAGGCTGCTTCCTAGATCAGGAAAATCAGTGATTACAATCAAGAAGATGAAGGAAAATATTTATAGATATCAGGTTCTCACCTGAAGGTATAGCAGGGAGAGAGAATGCTTGAAAAACCTATGTAACTTTTCTGACCCTTAGTTTTCTCATACTCAATTATGGATTCATGGCAGTCCCCTCTTATCCACAATGGGTACGTTCCAAGACCCCTAGTGGATGCCTGAATCTGCAGATAGTACTGAACTCTACATTTACTACGTTATGGGGGTTTTCTTTTTGGTTTTATATTTTTATTATTTTTCTTGTTTATTTTATACTATTTTTTTAAATGTGATAACCCAGACAGCTACTAAGTGGCTAACTGCAGGTACCATATACAGTGTGAATACAGTGAGATGATTCACTTTCCAGTTGGGATGGAGTGGGAAGTCTTGTGATGATGAGAGATTTCATTATGTTACTCAGAACAGCTGACAATTTAAGATTTGTGAATTATTTTTTTCTGGAATTTTCCATTTAGTATTTCGGGGTCACAATTCACCACAGGTAAATGAAACCACATAAAGTGCAACTTCAGATAAGGGGGAGCTACTTTAACTCTTTTTCATTAGTTGTGAGGATTAGACAAGCTGCACGGGGTATGTCTAACACAGTTCCTGGTACGTGGCTGCAACCTACAGAATGTCCACAATAAGGAAAGAACACCTGAGGGTTTTGAATATTTGGTTGTGACCTTGACTCCACAGCTTAAGATTTTCTATAAAATAGATTCCTCAAACACCAAAGTGTTCTGCTCAACACAGACTGACGTGGACATTCATGTGTCATATCTTCCAGTTCCCCATAAGTGTCCCCATGAGTGTTAATGGTTTCTACATGAATAAAGTTTAAAACTTTAAAAAATGGGATATGCATAAAATGAATACACGCCTTATATATTTTTATGTTTAAAGTTGGATAAACAATGTTGTGGAGTCACAAGAAAGTGAAATTTACTTTTTAGGCTGCAATTTCAAGTAAACACGTTTTTAGGAAACTACAAAATGGCGAATATTACTTAACATTTTACATATTGAACACAACTCCTGTTTTTGATACTTGGGGGACATGTTTGTGCCAGATTTAGATGATAGGCAAATAAAATTATATCAAAGAATATTGGTTGAGCATTTTAAAAAAAAAACCAGCAATAATCCTCATGCTGGTCACTGAACATCTAATATGTTCACTGAACATCTAAGTTTAAAAATCCAGTGTGTTCAAACTCATTCAAACCTCTTTTTCTCTCCAAATAACCAAACAGCTAGATTGAATGTTATCAATATTTTATAGTTCCACTTTTCTCTCAAGTGTTGGTGATGGGAGCATCAGAGGCAAAGAGGGTATAAAGGGAAAGAAGAGCCCTGACAGTCAGGAATCATCTTTCTAAAACACATCTGGTCACTTTATTTCGGTGTTCAAATCCCATCAGTATCTTCATTACCTATATATAAAACCCAGATTCTCTGTCTAGTAGACCAGGTTTTTCATGACCTCTTCCACCGTATGTATTCTCACCCTTTTCCTTTTTTTTTTTTTTTTTTTTTTTTTTTTTTTTTTTTTTTTTTGAGACGGAGTTTCACTCTTGTTGCCCAGGCTGGAGTGCAATGGCGCAATCTCCACTCACTGCAACCTCCGCCTCCTGGGTTCAAGCAATTCTCTTGCCTCAGCCTCCCGAGTACCTGGGATTACAGGCATGCACCACCACGCCTGGCTAATTTTTTTGTGTTTAGTAGAGACAAGCTTTCACCATGTTGGTCAGGCCAGTATCAAACTCCTGACCTCAGGTGATCCACCCGCCTCAGCCTCCCAAAATGCTGGGATTAGAGGCATGAACCATCGCGCCCAGCCTACTCTCAATTTTACAAGTGGACTTGAAAAGCAGATTTACTCAAATAACTCCTAAATGGCCATGTTTTGCTTCATATATGTCACTCCTGTGTTGAAATGCCCCTTCCCATCTGGTGTTGCTTAAAGCACTTCTGCTCACACTTGAAGACATAACTCTAGTGTGACATTCTTTGTGAGGATTTCCTTAACTGTCCCCTACACGGTTTACCATTTAGCAAAACTGTGTTACTTTTATTTGTTTCTGATGCCTCAATTAGCCAATTAATTGCTTGAAAGTGAGAATTCTGTCTTAATCTCCTTATCCTCAAATTCTAGCTCACTGCCTAGCTTCATAGTGGATCTCACAAAGTACTGTGTTGAATAAATAAATTAAGGAATCCTCCCATGAGGCAATTCCATGGTTCAGTCTCGAGCTCTGCCTGGAATGTGAGGAATATGGAGCATGGTAATTTCAATTAGCTCTTAGAGGATTTTAAGTTCCTTAAACATAGGATCCCAGAAATTTTCAAAAATATTAACATAATAAAAATATGAGGTCACATTTTTAATGGTGATAATAATATCTATTTCCATTTAAAGTTTCAAATTGATGAAACTGTTAGGCAAATAATTTCCCCCTTTGAAATAGAGTAGTGTGAACAGTTTCTAAAACATATCGATTAAGTTGTGAGTGGTGTCATGACTCAATCATTCCACTTGTTAATCAACCAAAAACTCCTAGGAATTGTGACCGTTGACCATTATATAATTTCAGATGTTTATTCTTAGTCATATAATATTTCTTTTTTTAACAGATAATATAATATTGATAAAAGACAGTAAACATAACAAAGTGAAACAAAGAAGTGTAAGGAGAATATAACCCTATCAAATTGTCTAAAGATGATTTTCAGTTACTTTATCTGATCAGAATCCTAAGTAGCACATCAAGATTTGTCCCAAGTACTGAAAAAAGCCAATGTTAAAATAAAAATACACGATAAATGCATCTGATTTGTATCTTATCTATTGAGATGAAGCCTCTCCTTATATACCCATCCTGTGTCATTTGTTTACAAGTGTTTGCAAATAACCTAAATTTTTAAAATAGTTATTTGGAAGAAAAAAGCATAAATATTACATTTTAAAAAGTTAGTTGTTTCTTATCTTTTCTTATCTTAAAAAAAAAAAAACAGAGCCTTGCTCAGTTGCCCAGGCTGCAATGCAATGGCACAATCACAGCTTACTGTAGCCTATTTTTTTTTTTTTTTTTTTTTGTAGAGACAGTGTCACTATCACTGCCCAGGCTGGTTTCAGACTTCTGGCCTCAAGTGGTTCTCTCATCTCGCTCATCTCGCTGCCTCCCACAGTGCTGGGATTATGGGTGTGAGCTACTGCACCTGTTCTATTTTAGAAAGTTTTTAATGAAAAATGTGAAAACTCAAATTAGTAGTTCAGTTAAGAAGTTTTGTTTACTTTCTATTAGAAATAGTTATATTTCAGTCTACATGCTGATAGACTTTCAGTCTCCAACTCAGATATATCATTTTAAAATTATTAAAGATGAAGATATTTTCATAACACAGCTAAGTTACGGAAAATGTTATGAATCACTTGCTATGTAGGAAAGGTTGAAATCTATCTTTACATGCTATAAAACTTATCAGAATATGAAAATCAATTTTATAATTCAATCTTTTCTAACATGCCAATATAACTTTAAAAAATATTATTCAAAATAATACTTTTATTACATTTCATATATACACATTGAATGATAAAGAAATTTTAGAAAATAATAAAAGTGCTTTGCAAAAGTGCATGCTTCTGTGAAAGGTGTTCATTCATGAGTTAAAATCTTAGAAAACACCCATATAGTTGAGTATAGAATTTGAGAGTACAGTTGGATGCTGTGAAAAAGTATTCCATTCACTTCCACTTCAAAGGCCACAATGTGTTTGTGGTCTTCTAACTATGGAAACTTTTCAATTAAATTATAAAAGAGAAGTCATAATTGGATGCTCTAGAAATCTCTATTACAATTTTGAATAATGCACAATGAAGCCATATTGCATAACAGATGCAGTTAAATTTGTTGATGATTCACTTAGAGGACCGCTTTGGGAAGATTAACACCTCAATGGAATCTGATTATCGAGCTACTATCTATCTATCTATCTATCTATCTATCTATCTATCTATCTATCTATCTATCATCTATCTATCTGCCTATACATTCTTATAAGCTACGAAAAATGGCTTTTTGTTGTTGCCCACCATAGCTAAGCTGCTTATATTTTTGGTCAGGCTTACAGGCAGGGATGTAGCAGAGATATAGCTAATTGGGTTGGAATAGTTATGCCACGCCACTGAAGGCTACTATTTAGTGACTTGCAATGTTATTTTAATTATGAGTTCTTAGTATTCAAATAATAAAGAGCAATTTTAAAAATGCCTGATTATTGATATCCCATTATATATTCTGTAACTCAGGCTCAGCGCCACCAATGTTTCATACCTCTCCAGAAAACACACATCCCTGGGAACTTGTGCCTTGCTGTTAGCCTTAATCCCTATTAGATCCAATATTCTTTCTTTCTCCCTGTTGCCTCTACCATTTATTAGAAAAAGATTGTATTTTCACTGATACTTTAAGGTAACCATAGTTTCTGCATATCAAAAGAGACTTGCTTGCTTTGTTACCAAATGAGGAAATAGCAGAAGTAAAACTGCAGTCAGAAAGAAGGTCTCTGGGGCAGTTATATAAGATGACAATATATTGCTTAATTGGTTGAATATGATAACAAAGCAAGGAATGAATACTGGATACTTTGCTTTCAAAATATGTTTTGAACTTGTATTTTTTTCCCACCGGATTCTACTAGATTGTCAGTATTTTGGTAGAAAATTTCAATATATTTTCAACTTGGGACCCAAAGGGCTATACTACACTTATATATTTATTTATTTTAGCCCATGACTAATGAATGCAGATCTTACAGAAACTGAACCAAAACAAACCACAACTCTATCAGGCTTGCCTGATATTTCAGAAGGCTTCTAAAAATTAGGTGGGTTTTTAGTAGACACAAGCAAAACAAACAAAAATGTGAACAAGTCGCAACTTAAATTGTGTTTTATTAAAGTCATTGTTTGGATGGTTCTTATTTTTTTAATGTTAGATTTCTCCTGCTGAAATGACAGACCAACCCACTCACTAACAGCATGTGTTTCAATGGAAGAATTTCTATTTTCTTCCAGCCTGAATTCAATGCAGTCTGATCACCAAAGCAAGGTAATGTCAGCCCAGCATGCATGTGATTTAAATATACAAGACTTGCATTTAAAGAACATTTAATATCCTCTTAGTTGCCCTTAGGTAAAAGAGAGTCCTTAAATCCATTCTTTTGTGGTTCTGCAGGAATAGAATAATAGAAAATTAAGAGGATTCTTTTGACTATGAACTTCAATACTGAAAGCTAGATGAGGAGTGCAATATATTGACCCTTTTCTCTTGTCTTGCTCCTGTACAAGGAGAGCCCAAAAGCAAAATCTGTGGAAAATAGCTAAGTGTTCATCCGTTAGCATTTTACCATTCAGGTACTACTAATACAAATTCAAAAAATGCTAATAAAGTCTGAAATTTCCCAGTAGGGGAGTAATGGAACACTTTTTAAAAAGACACTTTCAGTTAATGACTAAGGCATTTTTTGCTAACAGCAATTTTGGCTTCTTATCCCAGGTGGAGAAAAATGCATTAAACAGGAGATTAAAATGTCCTTTCAACTGCTTGGTAATGCCAGCTGCTGCCGCAGGCTAAGGCATCCATGAAGTGGCATTTAGTTGATGGTGGTTCTGTTCCAGGGATGGAGCGAGTATGAGAATCCCACTGGATGGGGTCTCTTTAAATATGCTGTATACGCACAAATAGCAAGTGTAGGAGCTGGGCTACGATGGTAAACTGTACAATCTGTTCATTGCATTTTGGTTGCTAATTAAGAGGTGACATACAGTATGAATGCACAGAACCTGTTGAAATTCTGTCAGGCTCTGTCTTTGCTTTCACATGTTTGAATGCTATTTAATAGGGCATCTTAATTGAAAGCAGAGAAATATATAAAAGTAGAGTACAAATATGTTGGATCAGGATTCTGCGACAACAAGTGTGTATGTTCATGATTTCTAACCCCTTAGTGCTTCTCTCTAAGACAGCTACTCTACTTCATAAACACAATATGCAAATGCCGTGATTTTCTTCTTGCTGTGGGGGATAGAGCTAGAGTGGAAAGTTGGAAACAGAACTTGCAAATACAAATGTGAACTTAACAGTGACTCTGACATAAAGGAAAAATGGCTTTTCTTGCCAAGAAATACCATTTTTATGAGGAGTGTTTAAGCAAAGAAAATGGAAAAAAAGAAAGGGCACTTAGTTTTAACAATGCATTGTGTGTGTATATTTATATAGCCAAATGCATATTTTCTCTAAGCTTTTATTCAGTGTATGAAGCCAGATTAATATCAAACTTTATTTTCTGAAAATTGGATTCATAAAGATAATGAAAGAAGAAAAAGACACAATAAGAAATAAAAACTTTGGTCCCTCTGAAGCTAGCATTGCTTGAAACAGAAACATGCTGAAGTTTGGCATAAATATAAAAGTCTCCAGAAGTGAGAATTCTATCTCTATGCCTTAGTTTTTCCATTTGAATAAAGGGGTTAATGAGTTAAAAGACATGAAGCACTGCATTTGCCTGGCACATAGAGAGTGTTCAACACTGTTCTATCTCTTTGGTTGTTATGATTTAGTCTGTGGAAGTGCCAATATTATGGAATCTGGTGGTAGTAGGTTTTCTTCACAGAATTCTCACTGTCCATCATTTCTTCTAAAGTTAAAACTATTTGAATTTGTACTTCTCCAAATGACAGGTGAAAGGTGACATTATTAAAACAAGTATATATACATCCACTTGAATAATCACTTACTGATAGCTTCAAAAGGTATGTTTTGAGTTTGAGAGTTCCTTTCAATTTCCATTTGTACTGTTCACATCTTCTCCATCTCCTGGTTTATTTTACTGACAGAGTTGGGAAGGATCTCATTTGATGCCCAGATCCATTAACATTCCGTCTTAAATTTCAGCAACGTGTAAGTCAAAATATACATAAGATACAATGCCAGAGCAGTGAGTTAATCTGGAGCAGTTGTGATACATAAACTATCAGTATTGTAGACCTACAGTAGTCTGAATTCATATCCACTTAAACTTAAACGGTGGGACATCAAGAACATTATTACGTAAATACATGAAAGGTAACTTTTGAGAAAATGACTCCAGCAAAAGTGTTATTTGAATTTTTAGCAATCAGTCCTAACTGATGCCCTCTTCATTATAAAAGGTTGAAATTTAGGGAATTGGAAGACTGAATAGTGATTTGTAACTATAGGTGAGTCTAGAGACAAGGAGGGAGGGAAGAGGGTAGAGTTCTGATAGTTGGTCCAATCTCTGGAGCCAAAATCCAAACACCTTTATATGAAGGTATAATATTTTTAAAAATATATGCATCAAATTATCAAATGGTCAGAAATTGTGTTGAGATGATTCTTCATAGTTTCACCACTGTCTTTATTATTGCTGGACATGGAATTTTCAAGAAATACTATTTCTAGGGCATTGAAAGCTATGAATTGCTGCCCTCGCGGCTTAAATCAGGATGAGCTGAGATGATCCCCGAGACAGCTTTGAAATGTCCTAGCTCTGTAAAAACAGAGCAAAGTACTTGTACAAAGAGTTCTATGGTGAGATGCTCTAAAATTCTTTCACACGTTGAGTAAGAATGAAAATATTGTTAGAGATTTCAAACTCCTAATCACTAAGAAAATAAAAATTATACTAATGCCTTTAATTACAAGTCGCTTCACAATATTACTTACCGTAAGATTTTAGTTTTTCTTGGTAAATGCCAGTTAAAAACATAGCAATTACATGTTCTTACAGATTACTTGGTGACTCTATTTCTAAAGTTTGCATGACTTGCCCTCTGATTTTATAACTGAAATAATCTCTTTACCCTATAATTATTTGCTATGTAAATACCTGTCAATAGATGATTGACACTGGCCATTTCCATTTAATTAAAAGGTCAACACCAACATATAAATACTTTTTATTTAATGATATTTGTGCCTATAACCACGCAGGTAGCTTAGAGTCCAAGACAAATTTATTTTTGCTGTGCACACTGAGACACACAATATGAATTTGATGTCACAGCCATATAACATCAAATTCCCCATGTGGCCTTTGTAGATAATAAATAATAAATACACATAGAAATGCTGCATGTAAAATTATTAATCTGTGTATAAACTTATCCAATTTTTGCATAGATTAGGTAATAATAAGAAGTGGGACAAAACTATTCCAGAGAATTTCTATTTAGGTACCAAAATGCACATATATATCTATTTGTCCTCTTAGCATGCGTCTTTTGAGCACAGCAAAGAAAATAGAAAGTAGAGATGAATAGGACTTACAAAATGTATTCCTCTGTTACTAGGAGCGTCTATGGGGATAGAAGGGTGAAATGGAGCAGAAAGACAGAGGAGGTCAGATGGGTTATGTGACGGGAGTAAAGAGCAGGCTAATTGAATTTGCAAATGATATGAAATTGGGAGTTGTCAGGAACAGAGGGGAAGACAGACTGAGTGTTAGTAGATGACTTACTTAAGAAGTTGGACTGAGTTGACATTCTGGAACTTTGAACATTTATACTTTGCATATTTTTGGCTTCTGCTTTGTTCTTTTCCATAGGATTTATTAGTTGCTGTCCTTGAAAATATCCAATAATTATTTTATAGTCCATTCAACAAACATGTACCCAAAATGTTCCAGCCCTTTTTCACCCCAAGGAAGTACATAGAGATTAAAATAATCATTATTTTTATAGCTTTCCTGGCTTAAAGACACACTTGGCCTGGAATGTTTTCATTGAGGATAGGACGCATGGCAATTTGAGTTATTTGGGTGCTACCTGGCTCTTAATATGAAATTTTTGCAAAAGCCAATTCAGAATTTAATCTGAAGGAGAATACCACCGAACAATTTTGCAGATCATAAGCACCCCTTAAATGGGCTATATACAAACAGATGGAAACTAGTACAGTTTTTGGTGAATTAATAGTTCAAAACTGCCTCATCTATGTTATTCATCTTCAGATAGAGAAATACATTTTATACCTCAAAGGGTTTGGCCTCCTTTGCCATATATGAAATGTCTCATTCTTGCTTTAATCAAGTGTAGCTTGATTTTTGAGTGATGTAAGTGCCTGATTGTCAGTCCTGGAAGGAGAAGCCCCCTTTCCTGAAGTGGGTAGTGAATGAAAGATGTCAGGTCCAAGGTCCTTTGTTCTCACCCTCATTAACCTTCCTTTGCTTTACCTCTTTCCCACACAGCTCTAGTTACTCCAAAAACAAACAAACAAACAAAAAAACAAAAAAAAAAAGAAAAAAAAAAGCTCTGGGAGTGAATATAGACTTCATAATATAATACGAAACGAAGAAATGTAGGTCATGAAAATTTCAAGCCTGATAGAAATAGTTAATGCTCATTTATGCCATGACCTATGTTGTTTAATTTATTTATAACTTCTAAATGTTATAACATTCTTTTCAAACTTATCTCCTGACAGTTTTCTTATAGTGCCCTGGGGAAAATTTTAAACTTGAAAGTTTCAACATTTTTGATTTATCGAAGTAAAAGAATTTCTCAGATTCTCTTTTCACTGGGTTTTACATTAGAGAGTTAATATAACTAAAAAAATCTCTTCCTAAAAAAAAAGTAAATCACCTCTAGGCTGAGACTGTATTTGGAGAGCTTCTGCTCTAAGGCAATTTGAGGCTATTTACATAGAGGGGGAATTTGGAATTTGTAACTAAAATTATTTAAATGACAAAATTTGTTAAACTGGATGTTATGATAAAGTCTGATGAACATATACATTTTCTAAAGAAAATTAGGTAAAACCTAATTTGGTTAAAACTCTAGTGTATAGTGAAAAAAAGACTTTTTTGAGGGTATTATTTTAGAAGTGTTCTACAGACTGTGAAGTCTCCACTTTTTTTTTTTTAAAGAAAGATGCTTATTCTTAATTACAATAACTGATAACATTGGTTTAGAGGGACAAATCATTTTACAGCCAAATTGCCACTATTGTAGTATTCAGAGCCAAAGTAGAAAATAATATGAAGAAATTGTGTCCTGGAATTTATTTTTTAAAGTATTCTTTACATATTAAGTCACCTATATGTCTGTGAGTCTAACATGTCACCTTAATAAATCTATGCATGTTTTAGAGCTATAACTTCTTTCAAGTTCAGCAACAGCACTAAACTAAGCCCCTTGAAAGCTTGAAATTTAGCTAATGAATTGAATATGATTAACATTCAGAGTTCAATAATAACTAACATTATTGCCATACTTCCTTATGCACCCATATATGTGGGGCCCTAAATTACCACCCACTGATTACTACCTAATCTAACAACAAAAGTGTAGGTATATTGCTCTTGTCACTAAAAAGGCTGTGGACACATTCAATGACTGTCACTCAGCTGAACTAGTCCCAGAGTGATTAGACAGCTGCAGGCCATATGGAATATATCATTTCTTTAAAAAAATGGCTTTTGGGGATGGAGGCTATTTTATTTGTTGTACATCTCTCTCTGTACGTGATTGTGTGATTTAGTTATTTTGAGATAATAGCTTAGTATGAAAATTATATCATGCAGAAATTTTAGTCCACCTACATTTCATGACATTTGTTGCCATATTTTTTGGATTGTTTATATTCATAGGTAAGATATTTTTAAAAATGAAGGAATAACTTGAAGTATAAGCTAGATTTCTAATGATGAAGAATGTGTTTTCTTGCTAAAAAGCTGAGCCATGCTGTTCCTTTTTCTCATGCTCTCACTCACCTCCTCTGTACTTCTATTCCACTTACAGGCTTTATCTTCAAAACTCATCTAAGTGTCCTTGCATCTGTCCTTAGATTTGGTCAAGTGTGGTTCTTAGTCTGGGCCCTATGCTGTGGAGACCCTGACTCTGACCATCCCCTCTGTTGAGCCCCTTCCATTGGGCCAGCTCAGGTGGCAGGCCACTGGGGCATGAAACCTCCCCATTAGATAATGTCTCAGCTACTCAGGACATGAGAATTTGCTGCCTCAATATGCCTGAAATCACTCCCAGGGCCTATGCTAGGTGATCCTCCTTAGGGCTCTTCCAGAGGGCATCATTGTGCTTTTCCCCAGGGGCAGAAGGAGGAGGAAATATGTTAGCTGAGCACTAAGTTGGTATTCTACAGGTAGAAAAAGGAATGGTGGGTGGTTTCCCAGTAGCCTTCACTGAACTCATGCTTAGTCCTTAAAAGCAGTAGCTTGAAATCATTTACCAAGAAAGGTAAATTTCCCAACCTCCTTGATAAGGTCAAATGCCTCTGTTATTAGTATAGGCCTTCCAATGATTATGTGGCAATCCTTGCAACAGTTGTGATTTTACACTTCTCTTTGTGATTACATTTTTATTTTATGTAATTGATGCCCATCTTGCTACAGGTCTGTGACCTTAATTAAGCCAGAAAATAGGTTTATTTCCACTATTGTATACTCCTGCCAAATACATTGGGAAAGCTCATAATAGCTTCCTTATAATGAATGAATAAATGAGGATGTTCTTGCTTTATAATGTTCCTGTGAAAACTAGAAGACCAATGACTCTATGTTGCATTACTATATGAGGCTTGATATATATTTGGTAGCTACTTAGAAAAAAAATTTGTTAACTAAGGGTTGTCCAACCAAGCTGTTAATCAATTTGAGTGAATATTACCTGATTAACATTTGTGTGATATCAATTATTTAGTAGTCAAAAATATTGTGGTTTACAAAACCTATTTTAATCTGCCTTACTGAAAAATCAATACACTTCACTGAAAATCCAGGGGAATTAATTGACCTATGTACATACGGACCTAGAAGCTCAAATAGTAACATCAGTTATCTTTCTCTTTCCATCTCTGGACGCTATGTTAGCTTTGATCTCAGGCAGACATCTTCCCCATAGTTACAGCAAAAATTCCAGGCCTTACTCTCACAGCCCAGTCCTGGGTCACATGTTCACCTCTGACCCATGCAAGTCAGACTACCATAATACAGAAATTAAAAAAGAAGGCGAAATAGGTTCCTGAAAAGAAAACTAGTGCACTTTTGCTGTAAAAGCACAAAACTATTAACAGACTCTACAAAACAGAGATTCTTGATTCCAAGTGACTTAATTTAATGATTTGCAGTCAATTGCTGCCATATGATCGATTGGTCACACAGAAAGAGAATGAGCAGTATACAATGTTGCTTTCTAGCCTGTTTCCTGAAGGACTTCCTCAAGCATCCTGTCTACCTGTTCCTGCTGCTGTCACAAAATATCTCAGACTGAGTAATTTATAAAGAACATAAATTTGTTTCTTATGGTTCTGGAGGCAGAGAAGTGCAAGATCTAGGTGTCAGCATTTGGTGTCAGCTGCATCCTCACATGGCAGAAAGGGAGAAAAGGGCAAAGGGGACTAGGGTGTTTCCTTTAGCCTCTTGAAGAGCACTAATCTATTCAGGAGAGTGGAACTCTTGTGACTGAATAACTTTCCCCAAAGCCCCACCTGTTAATGCTATCACCTTGGGGTTTAAAGTTCTAATACATGAATTTAAGAGGAACATGTACATTTAACACATAGGACATCCTTAGGCTTTACTTCGAGGGTGGCCCTTCATCACTTCCTCTGGGGCTGAGACAGGGCAGCAGAGAGGTACGCTGCCCTAGTGAGTGTCAGCCCAGCCATGCTCTTGGGGCATTTATGGACTGTTGACCAAAAACCAGAGTTAAGGAAAGGAGAAGAGTGAAGCTGAGAAGAGCAGAAGGAAAGACTGGGAAAGGAGAAGAGTGTTAGAGTATAGCACAGTCTACAGATTACAATGCTCATGAGACCAGCAAACCACTTCTGCAGGTAATTCCAAAAGAAGAATCCATTTAATATTGTGGGAAAGCGCAGCATTATTTGAACAAGTGTAAACTCCCTAGGGGACTACCCTGAAAAATAAAGCTAGTTTTTGTATGTTTGTTTAGAATAGAGAGGTGATTAAGTGTACAGGCTTTGGAGTCCAGTTTTCTGAGTTCAAATTGAGGCTCTGCCAAGAACCAGCCTTGTGATCTTGGTCAAGTTGCTGAATCTCTCTGTCCCTAACAGTCCACATCTTTTCTTTGGAGATATTAATATTATCTACTTAATGGATTTGTTATAAGAAGTAAATGGGTTGATACAAGTAAAGATTTAAAGCACGGATTGGAACACAACAATCATTTAAAAGTTGGCATAGCTATCAGAATGCATTTGTAAACAGAATAGTTTATATATATTAGATACTAAATTATTAAAATGGGTCTCAATCTTTTTAGACATATGACATAGTGAATCCATAAAACTTTGACTAATGACTAATAAGGGCAAGGGAAAAAACAAACAAGTGGTACTGACTGCACTCAGTATTATGGAATCTTATAAACTAATCATGGAATGTGCCCTGCAATATGGAGTTAAATTTGTACATTTAGGACACAGACCAGCTCTGTGTATATATAGGTTCAAAAACCATTCAGTCCAAGCTTTGAAACTATTGGACTCTGTGAAACTGCAATGTGGTAAGGGATCGAAGGATGAAAATGTCAGTGCCAATAAAGACCGTTTCATGGATTTAAAAAGCTGGTATGACTTGTGTAACAATTAGCATGCAGGAGACAGCCACAAGTTGTGAGCAAGCAAAGAGAACAGATAATAGCTTTCTAACTGGAAATCAGCAAAGTAACAAAGAATATCCACGTGTTTGAATACTTATTCATTTCACCATTTGTGCATTAATTAATTAATCAATTAATTTAACACACTGTGATTGAATACTTAAAATAATATACCAGTGCTCAGAATAAAGAAATACAAACAAGTGCCCCTGATTTCAGAGTATGCCGTCTACTAGTATGGAAAAAAATATATATATATTCCACTTCTACTTGTGAGGAATCAAAATGGCTTCACAGAAAGATTGTCACTAGGCAGAAAGGCATTTCAGTGGGCTAGAAGCCTGATGAAAGGCACATTTGTGGGAGGACAAGTCCTCTGGTATGGCTGTAGCCCAAGGTACAGGGCCAAGGGAAGAAACAATCATTAAATGCCCCAAATGCTGTGTAAGATTTATTTTATTATACATGTGTTAAAGAGGATTTTATTATGAGGCAGGATCAACAGCTTTGTATTTTAGAAAAATAACTTTAGTGACAATATGGAGGTCAGGTGGAGTGTCATAAGACTAGCAGCAGAGAAACAGGTAAGGAAATGTCCTCAGGTAAACTATACTAAGGGCTTAAAGAGAAGCAGTGGTGTGGCTAGAGAATTTGGTGATTGGGTGGAAGTCTGTGATTGGTAGTATCATTCACCACAATTGAGAATAGGAGGGGAAGTAGATCTTGAAGGAAAGATAATGAGGAATATGTATGGGAATTGTTGAGTTGGATATGCCTGTGAGCCATCCAGGAAAAGCTCAGGAGGGTGGTATGGGATAAAGTTATAGAAATGTCTGTTATTAGTGGACAGAGAAAGGTAGGGTGAGTAGAAAGAAAAGAGCAAACCAAGGATAGGCTTTGAAAATCACTAATTGCCAAAAAGTATAGAGAGGAAGAAGACGCATATAGGAAACTGGAATAAGAAACTGAGAGGACCAGAAAAAAACTTGTATCATGAAAACTAAAGTAGTAGAGAGTGGATGACGCTGTCAAATGCTAAATGGCCAAGCAAAGAATTCCTTAAAAGGATTCTACCAATGTGTGTGCATCAGATGAGAATGATTACAATGGGAATAAGAAATATGGCCACAATATAGTATTTCTGGGCCACTTTCTGAAATATCCATCTGGTAATTGTAGGTTTTCCCCCAAATTGTCTCTTCCAGAATGTCTGCACAAACCTTCCTATATTTCCTCTGTGTTCTTATAATTTATATGATCCTAATTAAGATAATCCTCTAACTTTTTGGATTAGAAATGGAAAGATATTACTAAATAATTTGTACGTATGCTTTATTACTGAATAATATTAAATATATGAGAAACTTTGTATAACTCATACAAACGTTATGGAGTTTCAAATTATAGCTGTCTCCATACAATTTGGGCATTGCAGAATTGCCTTTTATTAGGCCTGTAACTCCAATGACAGTGCAAGTCACTATGTACCATCTAAAATTAGCCTTCCCCACCAGATGTCTGTGGAAAATCCCATGCACTTCCAGGGAACTTGTGAATTCCTAGGAGATTTACATTGTCTGGTTCCAAGCTTCTACTCTATCAGTTCAGTTTATGGACCATCTCACTATCCTCCAGTGCTGATATCATCTGTTTTCTGTTATTTCTATGCCTACAAACTACCACCTAACATCTTTGTGCTTAGAAGCCTTTGCTAAAATTTTGGAGAGATCCTAGAGGTTTCAGAAAGTTTTGCCTTTTAATTGTGAAATGTGAAGCCCTTCCAAGATGACTTTCTGAAATCTCAGGTTCAGAAAGGGGGTCCTCTGGCTGAAAGGCTAGGACAATAGAAAATGTGTACCTCCAGCCTGAATGGTAGAAAAAATCAAAGGGAAAAGAGCATTAGGAATGGCTGTTGAGTGAACAAGCCAACTGACTGTCTACCATTGACACAGGTATTAGTTCATCCTCACGTGAATCCCATGAGGTTAGATTATCATGATTCCCAGTTTTATAAATGAAGAGAGTATGACCCAGGAAGATTAATAAAAGCTAAAAGCAAGGAGGCAAAGTCATTCTTAAACTATACTTCCTTCTTATTTTAAGTTCTAAAAATTGCCAACAAGCCACATGTGAGTCATGACACTGGTCAGAAGAAAAGCAGCAGTCATTTCTTTGGCCTTGTGCTTCTCCTCAGCTCTTCCCTGAACATTCACCCATATTCTTGTGTACCCAGAAAACCTAGTCCTTCCTCTCTTTTCACAATCTCATCCCGGGAATTCCCATGTCATCTATGAGATTCTCCTGATTGTCCCTATACTAGTAACTTTTGTCTCCTTCAAATGCTAGTATCTTTTAAGTTGCAATAATTTATTTGATACTTGTTACAAATTTTCTGTAATTTCCATTTTTAGTTTCCATTATGTGTCAAGACTTTACACTTCGTAAACTTCTTAAAAATAGAGAAGATAGATCCTATGAATTATAGCTATATTACTCCTACTTTCTTTTCTCTCTGTCCAAATTCTAACTATGTGTCACTTAAAAGACTGGGAATATGATGTCTCTCATAATTATATGCAAACAGGATTTCAAACATAATTCATTTCTCCCAAACTATCATCATTGTTACAAATAAATATTATGAAACTGAAAGTCAGTGGCATCTAATGGCTGATCTTCTATGGGAAATTACGGCCCAGTCCTGCTTAGATAAAGCCTTTTAAAACAAGATTAAGAAGTCAAAGTCCTTTGTCCTTCATGTAATATTTATTGAGCACCTAAAATGTTCTTGCACTATGCAAGATATTGAGGTTATAAAGGTAAATGACAACATAGCACCTGTCATCTTGGAGCTTATCACCTAGTAGGAAATGCCAAAAAAGGAAACATTCAATTAACTCACAGTGTGGTATGTATCCCTAGTTTGCCTGGAACCTGTTGTCCCCTTTACAGGATTATTTCCTAGGAGTTTGAATCTTTTCCACCCCTATTCTAATTTTCAGATTTATTTCCTGGAATACACCAGAATGCTTTTTATTTATACTTCTTTTGAATGGGCAGCTTCCAAATCATTACTTTATTGTGTCTCCCAGTTCATGTTTGCTGTGCATTTTAAAGCTTACCCTCTATGGTAGGCTGCTTCTAAAATGGCCTCTGATGATCTCTACCTCTTGGTATTTACTCTCTTGTGTAATCTTCTCCCCTTGCTTGTGAACTAGAGCTGGTAACTTGCTTATAACAAATAGAATGGAAAAAAATAATGGAATGTCACTTCTGAGGTTAGATTTTAAGACTATAAACTCCATCTTATGCATTCTCTCTCTGATTTGTCTTATTTGCTTTGTCATATTAAGAGTGGCTCCATGAAGTAGCCTATGTGGCAAAAAACTGAGGGTGACTTTCAACCAAAGTCAGCATGAAACTGAGGAATTCTTTCCAAAAGCATGGAAGCAACTGACCTGCCAACAATCACATGAGTGGGCTAGGAAAAGAACCATTCCCCAGTAGACTTTCCAGATGACGTTGCATCTGACACCTACACTGATGCCTGATTACAGTATTGTGAAAGACCCTGAGAAGGAGGACCCTGGTACTTTGCACCCAGGTTCTTGACCCACAGAAACTGTAAAATAGTAAAATGTTGTTTTAAGCCATTACATTTGGGGTTAATTTGTTAAACAGCAATAGATAACTAATACAGCTTAGAACACACAGGATTTGTCATCTTGATACACAGACTTGAGGCCTTCTCTTCTGCCCTCATTGTTTTTCCCCAGAAGTCTGCCTAACTTCTTAGTATGTTCTACACTTTAGCTTTATCTCTCTTTGTTTCTCTTCATTTCCAACTTTCTAAATAGCTAACACTATACCGAAGTATATTAAGTATACTAATTCCATATAGGAGGCTAGATTTTGACCACCACTGTAAGAAAATTAAGCTTATAATACCCTATAAGCTTCCTTTTTGTAGAACAGAGGCTTGAAGTCTTGGAAAATAGCCCCTGGAGACAAGGCTAGTCATCAATCTCTGTTACCTAGATGATTGCAATAACTTCCCTATTGGTCTTCCTGACACTAAGGACTCTGTCATCTCCACCGCAAGTCAATAAGAGCTTTCTGAAATTCAGATCTTCTCATTGCAACGCTATACATCCTTCCTCCACACACACACAAACTTAAAACACTTTGAGAACTTCTCGTTAATCTTAGATAAAGGACAGAAGATCTATTCATGACCTACCAGGGCCTACAAGGTCCAGCAAGCACACACATCTCCAGCTTGGTGTTTCATACCCTTCTCATTCTTTCTGTCCCAGTCACTGCTGCTCCTCATCTGTGCTCCCTCTGCAGTAGCGGATTTCTACACCCTGTTTCCTCTGCCAGGATTACTCTTGCTAACTGAGGCATGCTCATTTTCCAGATCACAGCTCATTACTAAGATTTTACTTTGTCACTCAAGTTTTCCATGATCTCTTCTTCTATGTTCACATATTACCATATAACTCTCCTCCACAGCATGTAACCCCAATCACAATATTAAGCACTTTTAGTTAAAGTATTCAAATTAACATTTATAGGACTAGACTATTAGCTCCGGGCAGGTAGCATATAATTTTTTTACACTTTGTGTCATAATGCCTGGCAATAGTTGGCGCATGGTAAATATTTGTGAATAAATGAACTAGACAGCACTCAAACTGTTCTTTGTAGTAAATTATATTATTATTAAGCTGAAACCTTAATAGAGTATTAGTCTTGTTTTTCATGTAATATGACCACAACATAGACAAGGAGATAAAAACAAAAGGAAGAAAATATGTTTTGAAAGCTTGCCATATATGTATATGAATTACATTTTTCTGCACCTATGTCTTATATGTTAGTCCCACTTTTATGCTGTATGACATTTAACATGAAAAACATAAGAATTTAGTGTTAATATGTAGCATGTTAAATTTCTGGGCCATTTTGACCAAGCTCTATGACGTTCCAGATAAATAAATTCTAAAAACAAATTAGTAATTTGATTAATGACTGATTGATATCTAATCCACTTTATAAGACCAGATTTACCATGCAGAATAAAATTTAAGAAGCTCTGATATCTTTAGAAACATCAACAACCAAAAGGCACACTCAAAACAATCTACCTTACAGTGCTTGTTTGTTTTTTTTCCTACTTTGCTTGGTCACATTTTTCTTTGACGCTATTAGTTTTCATTAGAATCAGGCTGATACTTTTCCTTAATCTTTGTTCCTCTGATTAGTCTCTCCTCAAAACTAATTTTAAAAATAATGCTCCAAGCTTTTGAAATATTGAGTTCTTCAAATTTAATTTTCCTCATTTTGTTTCTTATTTATACTCTGTAAATAAATATATATATTTCAAATTGAGACAGACCTTGAAACATAATGTGTCTTTATATAGCTGTGATCCACCCACTCAGAAGAAAACAATCCATGAACATAGAGTTTAAAATATATCACAAAATTCACACTTCATGCTGTGCCAATTTAATACAAACATGCCACATCCCTTGCATTAATAACCATAGATGATGACTGATAGAAGACGTTCATAAGATTGTAATTTTAAAGTGAAATTAGTTTACAGATCATAAAATATTTGAGTAATGAAATTCAGATACACAAAAAACCCATATCTGCATTTATACACAGATGATCAGAGTCTATAATGTCATATCTGATTTATTATGCATACAAGATAATTTAAAAACCATGCCATTTTACTTCCTTGTCCTTAAGAGAAGACCAGAATATCCATTTTTTGCACTTTTCCTTCTAGAATTTTATTAAAACAATAATTTGATGATATTTATGGGATGAGAAAATAATTTTATTAGGCACTTTTGGTGAGAATTGCTCGAATTAACATTTCTAAGGATAAATTATTACACTGCAATAGATCTCTCATTCATCACCAGTGACTTACGGGATTACTTGAACCAACTACAAAACCCAATATTTAGAAAATAATGTTAAATATTCTATGAATTTAAAACAAAATCACATTGCAGGTTATTAAATTTGCTAATACTACTTACTAACCAACCCTAAAAGAATGTACCTATGGAAAAATAGATAATAATCAACATTTCATGTAGATGCTACTATATGATGTATGTTCTAGCAACCAAAATGTTATTATAAGCCAAATATGTTTATTTGTCTCAAATTCTTGAAAGGATTTTCCAATCTAAGTCACTAAATACTATTTTGAAGAGTCCATCAATATTAAGGCTTTTTCTTGAAGTGAACCCAAACACGAATGTTTTCCTTTATTTTATCCCTGAGTATCTTGTATCAGGAAAGAAAAAAAAATTAGAGTGAAATCTAATGAATACTAATGTTAGACAAATGGACTAAAATCTCATTTAAAAGTTATCCGTAGAAAATAAAAGTATTTTGTAAAGATTTCTTCAGGAAGTCATCCTTGTTCCAGGTATACCTCTCTAATTTGAATTTGGGGAGGCAAAGTGACATAGTGGAAAAATATCTGAACTGCAACTCAGAAGACAAGCCACAAGTCGGAAGAATTCCAAAAGAAAACATCATAGGTAAATATTTCATGCAAGAATATTTTTCTCAATTCACTTTAAAATGATACATTATTCTAGCAGAAATATTCCATAACAATGTAGTGTTCTACAAAAATAAACATCCATTTTTATTATCATTTGTTATATCTTATGTTTTTTGTTTTTTATTTGTTTAATTTTAAGGCCTAAACTTTATTATATGTGGGAAATAGTCTATGCTTTTATATTTACTATAAAAGTAATAAATAGACTGGTTATCTATTCACAAAACATGTTTTGTTTATACAAACCACTTGTGTAAATTCTACTGCCTCCCTTCAGTTAGCTGTAGCTCTGGACTCAGTGCTGGGCAGTGGATGTTAGCAAATGTGACACAAGTCACTTTCAGGCCTTGCCCTCTAATGTGTGAAAACCCATGCTCTTTCTCTTATTTAACTTGAAGCAGACCAGCCTGGGGTTCATATACTGAACACATGAACAAGATGGAGGGAATTTTGTTCCTGAATCACCACGTGTAGGAGAACTGCTCATGGATTGATTGCAAATGTCTATTTTGAAATTTTCTGAGCAAGAGATAAATTTGTGCTGTATTAAGCCACTGATATTTTAATACAGCAGCTATATTTTGTTTTACATATCAATATTTTAATTGAGGTATAAGCTATATACAAAGAAATGAATATTTTCTGTGTACAGTTTATGAGTTTTGGCAAATTGTATGTAGTCACCACCACAAAATAAAAATATTGAACTGTTGTATCTCCTCAAAGAATTCTTCATGTGCCTTTGTAGTTAATATGTTTGATCACCCTAATCCCTGGCAACTACTGACTTATTTTATTTCTCTATAATTTTTCCTTTTTCTGAAATGTAAAAATTAATAAACTCATAAAGTACATAGATTTTTTCACTTAGCTTATATATTTGACATCCATCAATGTAATTGCATGTATCAAACATTCATTTCTTTTTTATTGATGAATAGTATTCCACTGCACAGATGTTCCACAGATTAACCTTTCATGGAGGACATTTGGGTTCTTTCAGCTTTTGGCATTTATGTATAAAGCCACCATAAACATTAGCCTACAAGTTTTTGTGTGAACATAGATGATCACATCTCTGAAATAAATACCTAAGCAAAGGATTACTGGGTCATGTGCTGAGTGTATGTATATCCTTATAAGAAACTGACAAGTTATTTTGTGAAGCATTTGTAGAATTTTGCATTTCATCAGTAATGTATGAGTTCCAATCATTCTGTGTCATTGCAAATAGCACTTACTATTGTCAGTTTTTGTTTGACCATTCTCATAAGTGTGCAGTGGTATTTTATTAGTTTATATTGCTGCATAGCAAAGTACCACAAACAAAGCACCTTAAAGCAACACAAATTTATTATCTCAAATGTCCTGGGAGACAGACCGCTAGTCACAGATTAGCTGGATACTCTGTTCAGGGTCTCCCAAGATGGAAATCAAGGTGTCAGTGGAGCTGCTATCTCATCTGAGGCCTAGAGTCCTCTTCCAAACTAATTCAGGTTGTTGGCAGAGTTTGGTTTTTTATATTTTAAGACTGAGGCCTCTGTTTTCTTGCTCTCCTTTGGCCTGAGGCCACTCTCAGTTGCTGGAGGTCCCTCATTCTCAGGTCTTCTCACAAAATGGCAGTTTACTTCTTTGGAGCCAATAGGAGCATTGCTCTGATTTCCTGTTTCTAACCACTAAACCCTCTTTTAAGAGCTCACCAAATTAAATTAGATCTACTCAGATTATCTCCATTTGAATTAGCTAAAAATCAACTGAGGAGGGATCTTAATTATATCTGCAAAATCCCTTCACCTTTGCCTTATAACATAGCCTAATCATGGAAGTGATATTTCATCATAGTTACAAGCTCTATTTACACTCAAGGAAAGGGCAATATACAAGGGCATGGATCATTGTGGGGCCATCTTAGAATACTTCCTTCCATATAGCTCATTTTGGTTTTGATGTGCATTTCCCTAATCACTAGTGATACTGAGTATACTATTTACAATATCTGTTAATGAACTTGCCTGACAACTGTATTTCTTCTTCATTGAAATGGCTGTTGAAATATCTTGACCATTTTTTATTGGTTTGTTTGTTTGTTTTCTTAGAATAGAGCTTTAAAAATTCTTTATTCTGAAGAAAAATCCTTTATACATTCTGGAGAAAAATCCTTCATCAGATATGTATTTTACAAATATATTCTCCCATCTGGTCTTTCTTTTTTATTGTCTTAACATTATCTTTTGAAGGGTAAAATTTTTAATTTTAATGAAGTCCATTTTATATATATTTTTTCTTTTATAGTATATGCCTGTCATATTATACTTAAAAAAATATTTACCTAACTCACATTCATTCACAAAGATTTTCTCCAATGCTTTTATAAAGAAGCTTTCTAGTTTTAGTTTTACATTTAGGGATATGATTTCTTTTTACTTAATTTTGCTTAAATCAAAAGGTATAACTTAAGGTTAATTATTTTGGTCCTCAATGTTCAATAGTTCCAACATCACTTGTTGAAAAGACCATCCATTTTCCATTGTCTTTTGCAACTTATTCAAAAATCAATTCACCATATATGCATGGGTCTATTTCTGGACCCTCTATTCTTCACAATTAATTTGTGTTTCCATTCTTTCTCCAATATAATACTATCTTTATTACTGTGGTTTGAAAAGTAACTCAAAGTCTGCTAGTATGAGCTGCACAGCTTTATGGTTCTTTTATGTGCTTAATTACATTTTAATATTAAGTATGATGTTGGCTGTAAATTTTATTTTTAAGTGTCTTTTAATGGAGTGAGAAAGTTCCCTTTGATCCCTAGTTTCCTGAGTTTTTATCATGAGCAAGTATTATATTTTGTCAAATGATTCTTCTGAATTGATTGAAATGATCATGTGTTTTTCTTTTCTGTAGTCTATTGGTACAATGGAATTACTTTGATTGATAATGTTAAATCACCATTTGTACATATTGCTGTATTCAATTGTGCTAAGCATTTGTACATCTATATTTATGAGGCATATTGGTTTGTAAGTTTGTTTCCTTGTAATGGCTTTGTCTGATTTGACTTTCAGGGTAATGCTAGCTTCATAAAGTAAATTAGAAAACGTTCTCTCTTCTAATATTTTCTGAAAATTTTTACATTGAATTGGTATAACTTTTTTCCTAAATGTTTGGTAGAATTTACCAGTAAAGCCATTAATGAACCTATCTAAGTTTTTTGTTTGTTTGTTTCCATTGGAGGGTTTTTAATTAAAAATTCAATTAATCCAGTAAATACAAGATCATTTAGTTTATCTGTTTTTCTTGAGTGAGCTTTGGTGGTTTTTCTTTCAAGGCATCTGTCCATTTTTTCTGCTGCCAACATTTATGGGCATTACATTATTCATAATATTCTTATGTTATTATTTTAATATCTGCAGGTTTTTAGTGATTCATTTCTTCCATAGTTGATATTGTTAATTTCATATTCTGTTTTTTTCTTGCTAAGTATGACTAGAAATTTATCTATTTTGTTAATTTTAAGAAAATAAATAGCTTCTGGTTTTCGTGATTTTCTCTACTGTTTTTTGGTTTGCAATATCATTGTTTTCTGCCCTCATCTTTACTATTTCCTTCCTTTTGTTTACTTTTGCTTTTCCTTTCTTTTTCTAGTTTATTAACATGGAAGCTTTGATTTCAGACTTTCGCTCTTTTCTTAAGTAAACAGTAATGCTATAGATTTCCCTCTAACTACTGAATTAGCTGCATCCCACAAATGATGACGTGTTTTTATTTTTTTTAAATTGAAACTATTTTCTAAATTTTTTAAGACTTATTTTTTAAGTCATGAATTATGTAGAAGTGTATTGTTTCATTTCCAAATACTTGAATATTTTCCAGGTTTACTTTTGTTATTGATTCCTAGTTTAATTTTGTTATGATCAGAGAATAGATTTTATGTGGTTTACAAATGGCATTCATGCATGTAAATAGGCATGCACTTTCCTTTCCTTTGCTGTAAGGGTAAGAGTGTGAGTCAATCTGGTCAGAGGGTTAGATGGGTTTACTTTTCATCACTGCTTTGATTACCTTCAGTGTACACTGACTTCAAATTTATCTGGCATTAGCATGTTCTTGGCATGGGACTGGTTTATCAGAGGGTTTTCTCATTATTTCTTCCTCACTGTCAGCATTAGGCTGCATCCCTGTGCTTTTATCTCAGAGTCTCTCTTCATGCTCTTGCCCTTGCCCCAGAGGTGCACTACTGTTTCTTGCTACTCTGTGCTTATTAGCCTAGTGGTGTGAAACTGGGGGATTCTTTATACATCATCATATATTGGTGTCTTTATACAGCATCATTCCCTTTGTCATTGGCATAACCAGGGACTTCCGTTTCCTGACTCTCTGCTAATAGTGGAGGGGTTAATTTCTCTCCTACCTCTAGGTACAATGGGTTTACACCTGTATCCTGGAATGTCAGGGGTTGTTGTCTTTCTCACAACTTTAGACTTTTGCTTCGTTGGGGGAAAGGATCTGCACAGGATCTCTGGGTTTTCCTACAGTGACAGCCTTATCCACTTGACCTAGTGGAAATGTATAGAGAGGAAACTTTGAGTGGATGTAGACTCCCTTGTGTTTTGGCCTCCCAAAGGTTCTCTGTTCTCATGTTAATCCACAGTTTAGCAATGTGTTAAAAATTTAGCTGAATGTTTCTTAACTGCTTTGTTTAGCAGCTCTATCTTCCTCCCTTGCTCTGCTCCTGGTGGGTCTGTATTTGACATCCATATTTCCTTGGAAGCTCCTGTTTTTCTTTGGATTTCAGGATACTTGTTTGTCCTCCAATCCCACTACCCTGATGGGTTCAAGGAGAGCTATCATTTTGTAAACTATATAGCTTCTTTTTATTGTTAGAAAGGAGCCAACATTCTTTTCCAATTTCTGCATTCTAAGAAGCCAGGCATTAACAGTACACTTCTAAATATCTTATACATATTGACTGTTACAGTATCATTAATTGAGAGCTGTAAAAGAGAAATCTGTAAGAAGTAGCCTGTATTTATTAGTTGTAGGTGTGTGTGTGTTTTGTTTTTTTTTGTTTTTGTTTTGTTGTTTTTTTTTTTTTTGAGACAGAGTCTCGCTCTGTCACCCAGGCTGGAATGCAGTGGCATGATCTTGGCTCACTACAAGCTCTGCCTCCCGGGTTCACGCCATTCTCCTGCCTCAGCCTCCAGAGTGGCTGGGACTACAGGCACCCACCACCATGCCCAGCTAATTTTTTGTATTTTTAGTAGAGACAGGGTTTCACTGTGTTAGCCAGGATGGTCTCGATCTCCTGACCTCGTGATCCACCCACCTCAGCCTCCCAAAGTGCTGGGATTACAGGCGTGAGCCACCACGCCCAGCCCAGTTGTAGGTGTTAAGGATACCACTGTCGTCTGCACTTTACAAATGAAGAAATTGAGCTTAGGGAGTTGTCCAACACTCTCAAAGTCATATAGCTAGTAATGACAGGGCTAGACTTAGAACCAGATCTGACACCAAAGTTTATGTCCTTGTACTTTACAGTTTAGAATCTCACATGGAAAATATTCATCATGCACATACATCTTCACAGAGACTATTCATTGGAATAAAAAATAGATTTTAAAGATGAATTATCAAAGTAGCCATCTCCTCTGTGATAGGGATTGTTCTTCATTCTTTTATCACTAGCATTTAGCATACTTCTACATAAATGTTTTCTGAATGAAGTAGTTAATAAGTTATTGAACAGGTAAATGGGTAAATTACTCTAGGGAATTTAAATAGAAAATTTCCTGATAGTATTTTGCTAGGTGAAGTTGCAGGCAAGATACCTATATTTTCATAGTAGGACATATTTCCTGATAGCAATTTTTTTCATAAAATTTGTTGCAAATGTCCTCTGAGCTTTATTTTTCACAATGGTGACACATTAAATAGGAAGAGTAATATGGTTTGGCTGGGTACCCAGCTGAATCTCATATTGAATTGTAACTCCCACTTTTCCTACATGTCATGGGAGGAACCCAGTGGGGGGTGATTGAATTATAGAGGTAGGTCTTTCCTGTGCTGTTCTCGTGATAGTGAATGAGTCTCACAATATCTGACGGTTTTAAAAACAGGAGTTTCCCTGCATAAGCTCTCTCTTTGCCTGCTGCCATCCATGTAAGAAGTGACTTGCTCCTCCCTGCCTTTTGCCATGATTGTGAGGCCTCTCCAGCCATGTTGAACTGCAAGTCCATTAAACTTCTTTATTTTATAAATTGCCCAGTCTCCGGTATGTCTTTATCAGCAATGTGAAAATGGAATAATATAATAAATTGGCACCAGTAAAGTGGGGTGCTGCTGAAAATGTGGAAGCGACTTTGGAACTGGGTAAGAGGCAGAGGTTGGAAGAGTTTGGAGGGCTCAGAAAAAGAGAAGAAAATGTGGGAAAATTTGGAACTTTCTAGAGACTTATTGAAATGCTTTGCCCAAAATATTGATAGCGATATGGACAATAAAGTCCAGGCTGAGGTGGTCTCAGATGGAAACGAGGAACTTGGGAACTGGAGCAAAGGTTATTCTTGCTAAGTCTTAGTAAAGAGACTGGTGGCATTTTGCCCCTGCCTTAAATATTTGTGGAACTTTGAACTTGAAAGGGATGATTTAGGGTATCTGGCAGAAGAAATTTCCAAGCAGCAAAGCATTCAAGATGTGACTTGGGTGCTATTAAAGGCATTCACTTTTATAAGGGAAGCAGAGCATAAAAGTTCAGAAAATTTGCAGCCTGACAATGTGATAGAAAAGAAAATCCCATTTTCTGAGGAGAAATTCAAGCTGGCTGCAGAAATTTGCACAAGTAATGAGGAGCTGAATGTTAATCCCCAAGAAATAGGGAAAATGTCTCCAGGGTATGTCAGGGGTCTTCATGGCAGCCCTTCCATCACAGGCCCTGAGGCCTAGGAGGAAAAAATGGTTTCATGGGCCAGGCATAGGGTCTTTGTGCTGTGTGCAGCCTTGGGACTTGGTGCTCTACATCCCAGCTGTTCCATCCATGGCTGAAAGGGGCCAATGTAGAGCTCAGGCCATGGTTTCAGAGGGTGCAAGCCTGCTGCCATCCATGTAAGATGTGACTTGCTCCTTCCTGCTTTCCACCATGATTGTGAGGCCTCTCCAGCCATGTTGAACTGCAAGTCCATTAAACTTCTTTCTTTTGCAAATTGCCCAGTCTCTGGTATGTCTTTATCAGCAGTGTGAAAATGGACTAATACAAAGGGGACTGAGATATTTACAGAAAATATTATTGTGATACCAAAGGCTCTCTGCTAGTTATTTAACTGAACTAATCCCCCATGTTTATTTACAATATTTGAAGGACTACATTTTAGAATAAACTAAAGAGGGGCAATGTAAATTCATAAAGAGAGGAGTTGCAAAGGAATAGAAAGAGAAAAAAAGTAACGAATCATAGTTGAGTTTTTGGAAAGCATTCCAGGGTGGTTTCTTTACCTGATCAGAAATGGGTTCAATAAGATCATTTTATTAAAGAACTGAGAATGTCATTTTGCCCACACAAGCCAAATATGAACTCTTCAATGCACAATAGCCTAACGTGGTTAACTATGTGTGGGTGAATCTGATGCAGAAATGTATTCTTTAAGAGTAGGCATGTGTTGACAGTTCTTGTGCAAATTTATATGAACATCCCTGAAACATTATACAAACATTTGAGATCATTATGATTATTAATGAACTCTCAGTGAATATGCAATGCTTTTAAGCAGCCCTCAGAATAAATAGTAATTATTTAGAAAATCATAATCTCAATTATCTCTTTGTCCATCCTAGGGGAGAACCTACTGAATTTTTAGATTTTTTTTTCAATTGTTATCTTTCCAGGTTATTTAATGTTCAAAAGAAATGAATTTATTTTCATGTTTTTGTTGTTGTTGTTGTTGTTGTTGATAGAAACAAAAAAAAAGAGCCCTGTAGGTATTCTAAAAGCAAGGTTTAGTATAGCTGTAACACAGTATGAATACAACCATTTGGCTTCCCAAACGGCTTCATGAAATTTGACAATTCTCTGGTTTTTATTTTAAGAATAGTCTTTCACTCTTATGAAATTGAGAATTTGAAGATACAAGTGTCAGAAAACAAATTACACTGCTTGATCTTCTAATAAAGTAATATGATAATACTTAGTAAATTATTACACAAGAACATCTAAGCTTTTGAGACATTTGCTAAACCAGAGGAGACCCATCATATAAAGCAATTTTTATTTAAGCCTTTTGATGTGGGACAATTTAACATATCCAGGCACATAACTAAGCAGATACTCAGGGATTTAAAGAATCAGGAATTATAATCCATGTTCTGTTTTACCTTAGAAAAACCACTACACATATTGTCTAGTGCTCCTTTTCCAGGTTGAGTAACATATAATAAAAACACACCTAATAAAATATTCTTACATAATCCCTTGCTATTTTTATATTTATTTATTTATTTGAGATGGAATTTCACTCTTGTCACCCAGGCTGGAGTGCAACAGCATGGTCTTGGCTCACTGCAACCTCCACCTCCCGGGTTCAAGCGATTCTCTTGCCTCAAACTCCCAAGTAGCTGGGATTACAGGTGTGCAACACCAGTCTTGGCTAATTTTGTATTTTTAGTAGAGATGGGGTTCCACCATGTTGGCCAGACTGGTCTTGAACTCCTGACCTCAGGTGATGCACCTGCCTTGGCCTCCCAAAGTGCTGAGAATACAGGCAATAGTTACCATGCCCAGCACCTTACTATTTTTAAATATTGTATATTTAAAAATAATGTTCTAAGTTAACAACACTTTGTATAGTTTTTCAGTTTGTGCCAACTTAAGAAGATTCCTAAAATCTTCATTTTTCTTCCCTTAAGTACCTTAAACAATTAGAGGTTGTTATCCAGAGTCTGAATTGCAAGGTGTTTGTCCAGAAGTTTTGGAGTGTAAGAGAAGGCTGGCAGGAAAGAGAGAAGGAAAGGAAATTGTATTTGAGGTCTATATCTCACCTTGTAGTTTACTTTCTTCACTAGTGGGTGATATGATTTGGCTATGTCCCCACCCAAATCTCGTCTTGAATTGTAGTTCCCATAATCCCCACGTCATGGGAGGGACCTGGTCATAAGTAATTGCACTGTGGGGGTCATTACTTCCATGCTGTTCTCATAATAGTGAGTGAGTTCTCATGAGATCTGATGGTTTTATAAGGGGCCTTTTATTCGGCAATTCTTGCTGTCGCCATGTAAAGAAGGATGTATTTGCTTCTGCTTCCACCATGACTGTAAGTTTTCTGAGGGTTCCCCAGCCCTATGGAACCGTGAGTCAATTAAACCTCTTACCTTTATAAATTACCCAGTCTCGGGTATGTCTTTATTAGTGGCACAAGAATGGGCTAATACAGTAAATTGGGACTGCAGAGAGTGGGGTGCTGTTACAAAGATACCCAAAAATATGAAAGCCGCTTTGGAACAGGGTAACAGGCAGAGGTTGGAACAGTTTGTAGGGCTCAGAAAAAAAGAGGAAAATATGGGAAAGTTTGGAACTTTGTAGAGACTTGAAGGGCTCAGAAGACAGGAAGATATGGGAAGGTTTGGAACTTCCTAGAGACTCATTGTATGACTTTGATGAAAATGCTAATAATGATATGGACAATGAAGTCCTGGCTGAGGTGGTCTCAGATGGAGATGAGGAAACTGTTGGGAACTGGAGTAAAGGTCACTCTTTTACTTGTATTTATTTGTTTTCAGAGCTATAATAAACACACTAATGACCATTCATATCGAATATGTATATTATTTGTGATTAAATAGCCATATTACTAAAATATTAGTTGTAAGTGTTTGATCAAATGAAAATTAAATGCTATATACTGTGTGACTCTCTAGAGGAAGGCCTCCTCATATCTTTATCAATAAAGAAAATACCTTTTTCAATTATAACTTGTCAACTAGCGTAATTGTAAATCTGTGAGATCCTCGCAGTATCAAAATGTTTCTGAAGTTACTTACTGTTATAACTCCAACAGATCTCCAACTTTATCTCATTGAGAAGCCAGAAAATATACTAAAGTCTCTGTGGTTAGTTTGATTTGCTGAGTATTTGGTCCTTGGGAAGTTTTGTTACCAGTAGCAAATCTCAACGGTCATGAATAAAGCCAAACCTCATTTTGGCACAGTACCACTGTTTGGTCATTTCTATGGGAAAATGTGTTCTGCTGTCCAACCAACTAATTTTAAAACAAATGTTGGTAATGCAAACATGAATAAAAAGAGAATACTTCATATTAATTTAAACCATGTAATTTTGCATTAGCTACTATTATATTGAGTCTTATAGTGTCCCACTCAAGGTGCATATTTTTTATTAGGGTGCCTTTTCCTTGAAATCTAGGACTAAAATTTGTCATTTTTCACTCACTCTTCATCTCCTCCCTTCCTCTTTTCTTTCAATCAGTATTTATTTAAATTCCACCTTAGGTCAGTAACTGTATTATAGAAGATTTCAGTCACCCCAGGCATGATTTAGAAACAAAATATAAATCATTTTTCTGTTGATTTTTTAAGTTAGCTTTTTCCTAATATCTTATCCTCATACCATACAATCCCTAAATATTTCTAAAATTCCAGACCTGAAATGACTGAGGTAGCATTCATGAATTTTTTTAAGTTTTATTATATATTTATTATATTTAATCAATATCAACTGTAAACACAAATATTAGGTCATTGATGCATTTTTTCTATATCTCTTTTCATTATGTTTATTATGTCTTTATCCAATTTTAATCAGAGGGCAAACATAATTTTGCATGCCAATTTTTCATGTAACATTACTTTGTAAGTATTTGCAATGTTGTGTTTCACTGCATCACTCATAAAGAATACATAAAGTTCTGTCTAATTAATGGATCATAATTTACTTTTCTCATTTTTGACATGTAGTTATCTATTTTTTAAATAGAAAACTATCCCCCCAAATAGTAGCTTAAAACACAATTGTTTGTATCACAATTCCATGGGACAGAAATTCGGATAAGATACTGCAGGGACATCTTACCTCTGCTCCTAAAATGGGCTGGGACTCTGTTGGTATTACTCAAATGGCTGGGGGACTGGTTCATATATTTGACTTGTGACTGGGGTCATATGTCTAATTCCTTGGTTCTCCTCTATGTAGATTCTCCTCCTGGCTGGGGCTTCCTTTCATCATGGTAGTTTCAGAAGCTTCAGATTTCTTACAATGTGGCTGGTTTTATCCCAGAAGAAGCTCTCACACATGCTAAAGAGTAAGACTAGAACTGGTATAGTGCTGCTTCTGCCACATTGTATTGGACAAGGCCATCCCAGATTCAAGGACAGGTAAAACAGATTCCCCTTCTCCATGGTGAACTAGCAAGTATATACACAGAAGGAATGAGCTGATGATGTCCATCTTGGAAGATTACCTGCTACATTCATACAATCCATTTGCCAGTGATCATCCTTGTCTGTTTTGGTTGACTGAATTTTGCTCGCTCCCTAACCTTAACTCACAATTGAACCCGTTCATCAGAAATCCCAGAAAATCTGACATACCAATAATTTTTTGTAGCTTTTTAGAATAGCTCTACTGAAGGTTTGTGGTGACATATATAAGTGACCATATCACTAAGCACACAACATTTTACATAAATGATTCCTATTTTCTTTACAGAGTCTTTCCCTACAATGGAATTCTTGTACCAACTGCCAAAATGACGATTTTTCTCCCATGACATTGCGTATGAGTGTAGCAGCTTCACAGCACACTTGCCAGAACTTAGTAGTGGTAGTTAGTTATTTTGTAATGTTTTATTATGAAATAGTACAAGTACCTATGAAAGTAGAGAGAATCATATATGGCATGCTTTTACAGGCATCACTCAGCTTTAAGGATTATCAACTCATGGCCAACTTTGTTGCATCTATATCTTGCCCAGGTACTGGCTACCCTTCCACCACTTCTCTGGTTATTTTAAAGCAAATTGAAGATATCATATAATTTCATTTGTAAATTCTTCAGGATGTTGGTACTAAACTTAAGTGGAAAATACTAGCCCAAAGTGGACAATTGTCACATCTTGGGCCCACTGAGCCTGTTCCCAAATAATAGTAGCAAAAAGAAACCATCCAGTGCCTAGAGCTGTGATCAGAAACTTAGTTTTTTACTCTGAATACAGGGAAAAGGGAACTGAAATACAGATATTCTCAAACTCCTGCCTAGTTGTAAATAGTTCAGTTAGGAGCCTTAAAGGAACAAAATTAGAGGAGCACGTCCATGGAAGACTGAGGGAGAGGTAATGGATCAACCTATAGAACTGGGCATAATGGAGGCAGATGCTTGTGTTTCATGTGAATGCATATGGCAGAGATGTTCTTAAAAGTTACAGGGATATTCTCATGCTAGTACAATGAGCTCATGAAGAATATGTATGTGCTCCTTCTCAATAAGCCTGACCATGCTATTGCCACTGCTAAAGGCCTTTAACTTACTTGCCATCAGCAGAAACAGATTCTCATCATTCAATATGGCAGCATTCCTCAAGGCGACTGTCAGCTACTCTGGCAGTTTTGCTATGTCAATCCCTTCCAACCTATATGAACAATGATAAATTCTTACCAGGTGTATCTTTATTCTGCACTGAATATTTATTTGCCTTTCAATTCTGAAATGCTGCTACCATCCTCATTACTTCAGGGCTCAACAGAATGTCTTACTTATCAACATGGAACCCATACGATGTTGCTTCAAACGAGTAAACTTTATTTTTGTGATAAAGAAGCTGTTACAATAGCCCCAGAATATATTCACTGGTCTTAACATATGTTCCTCATTTAGAAGCAGCTGGCTTAATAGAATATTGGAGGGTCATCTAAGGTACCAGCCTGGGATTGGGGCTCTGTCCTCCGTAAGTTGGTTTATGTGCTGAATAAGACCATCATCAGATGCTGTGTCCTCAGTAGTGAACATGTGGACTCCAAAAAACGAGTTAAGTGTGATCAGCCCCTCTCATCATCATACCTTATAACCCAACTGTGAAACTGTTTATTCACATTTGCATAGTCATGTTCTGCTAGATTTGAGATTCTGTTTTCCATGTGTCCAGCAGCGGATTCTTCTGCCAGGGTACACACTTCAGGATCCGCTGAACCTGAAGCTCTGACTACCACCTGGTTTGTTTGAATTCTGAAAGGCAGATAAACTATATTCTATATTGGAACAAGTAACTGACCTTGATGCACTTGCGGTAGCTATTACACCATAAAAGTAGATAAGAATAGTTTCAAACTCAGTGTCTTCCTAAAGGCATCTCATGATAGTTCTGGGCCCTGTATCCTGTAACCGTTTTCCACGTAGGGAAATGGTATTTACAGACCATAATAAGGGTGTAAGTGATGCTCACTGCTACTCACTTGATCATGTTTATAGTCTTTTTTTTAAATGTAGGAAAAGGTCATGATCTTCTTGATACTTTCAACTCAAATTCAAAATTACTTGTGTTTTAATTAACCTCCATTTTTATTTGTATCTCCTTTCTCCTCAGGGAAAACCCAAGATGTAAATGACACCACATAATGATTGATTCACTTTATCTCATCATTGCACATAATAGTCTCTGAGTAGCACTACTAGCATTCTTATAAACAGTACAATTAATGAAAGCTGCTTATGTTTTTTCCCCAGTACCTTTTTATTTTGTCTTTAAGATATACACTACCAGGGAAATTTTGCCAAAAGCTTAGTTATGAGTTTAAAGCCACATAAAATAATTTCTCCCTGTGTGGTTTTGCCAATACAGCATACCATTTGGTTACTTTTGTTTCATTTTGCTTTTGATTTTAGGTATTGATTCTGTTTACTTCAACTTAACTTGTTTTATAAATTATGTTTGAACATTTTAATGAATCCAAAATCCAATAGTTACAAGAAGGCATATTTTTGATAAGTCTCTCTTTAGTTCTGCTTCCTTCAATTTGTTGTTGTTCTCTTCTGTAAGGTAACAACTCTTTTTTTTTTAAGTTTACTCTTTAATTTTTTGAGATAAGAAAATCATATGTATATTTGTGTGTATGTGTGTGTATAGATATATATAGGTAGATAGATATTTAGAAAGGGAAAGAAGAGAGAGGGTGTATTCCCATCTCATTCTTAAATAGTAGAATAGCAGTAGAAGTCTTATAAGTACAAATTTAGAGATTCTTTAAAAAATAACTTTTGTTTTCCTTTTACTGAAATGAATTGTTTCACACAATTACATCTTAGGCTGGTGCATATAAAGTGACAACTCCTACTTTAAATAAGAGATAAATAAAGAGGGTTTTTGAAGCCCACTTCTCCTTATATAATTTAGATCCCATTTTGAATTTTAAATGGTAAAATATTCTATTTTGTAAAGAGAAAAACTTTGAGGTCCAGATAAACTCATTATTTGACAGACCAGGCGAAAATGACCCACATATGAGATCAGTAGGTTTTCATACTGGGAACAGGTAAAATTTACTCTGTGGTTTGCTTCAGTATTCACTGTTTCCACAGATACTGCTGTTAATGGCTTTGAACATAAGTTATTACAAAATTCTGAATCATGGTATACAATTATAATAAAGAAGATTAGAAAGCATATTTTAAGCTACTACTTTAGATAAGCTATCCTGAAAAGCACTGTGCAGAGGAAACATTGGGGATAGAATAATAGTCCTTGCTTTAAAAGAACAAAGAATAGAAACCTTCAGTTGATGAGATAATGTGCCCAAACAGCAGAAGACCACTTAGAATGCATGTAAAAATTTTGTTATATAAGCTGAGTGAAGTACAAAAAGGCTTCACCTTTATTTTCCCCAAAGATTATTTTTTTCATCTAATTGTTTTTAATGCAAAAACTCTTCTTATTTTTAGAATTGGTATTCTAAATAATAGTTTTTCAGGAAAGATCTCTTTAACGTGTCATGGAAATGAAAAAAAAAGAAAATATTATGACAGTGACATTAAAACTTTTTAAAATCAGATAAGAAGCAACAATTTTTTATTAATATTACTATTTTGAATGTGTGAAGTAAAGGACATTAAGATAGCTAGAAAGAATAATAGTGTATGTATGGACAGGCCCCGTGTGGGAGTTAATGGACAGAGGTGATAAGGGAATATGATATAGAGGAGGAAGGGTAGGATAGGAATAAATTTGCAGTAAGAGATCGGAGAGGCACAGATACAGTTAGCTAGAAAGATAGATCAGAGAGAGAGACTTAACTCTGATATATAGTCATACCCCACCAACTTCTCTATCTCTGGCTCAGATACTTAGAAGACAAAATTGTTTTTTAGTTTTGAATTAGATGAAATTAATTATAAAGTGGGAAAAGTTCATAGTCTCACTATGAAAGCTGTGAAATCTAAATCACTGTTCTATTTTTCGTTACTGAGTAAAAATTGCCATTTTTTTATTGAGCTATAATATGGAAACAAAGAAAAATTAAAAGTGTTTTGGCATAATTCAACTGATAATGGCATTTTATTAAAATTAGTAAATCAAACATTTCTGTACCCCATAATTTATCACTGTAGACGTTTGGTAGATTTTCTTTCAGCACATCGGATGATATTCTGTGTATATGAACGTGTCTGTTTCATTGGGATTATAATATATAGTTTGTATTTTAGTTTTCGCTTTGTTTTGTTATGGCTGGGTAACACAATCATTTCCAATGTTAAGATATTATTTAAAACTATTGTTTTAAATGTAACATGGTGTTCCATAACGTCCTCTTCATGTATTTTTATTTTTCACCTTTATAGATAATGCTGGTAGTAATTACCTTGTAAGTAAATGTTCCCATTAATGTCTTATAACTTTATTTAAAAAAATCCCAGAAATTGAATTACTAGGTCAAAATTATGACCAAAATATTTCCTCCATTCCACCCCGACTCCCTCATCTCTCTCTCTCTTTCTTTCTTTCTTTCTTTCTTTCTTTCTTTCTTTTTCTTTCTTTCTTTTTTCTTTGTTTCTGTCTTTCTCTTTCTTTCTTTCTCTCTCTTTCTCTCTCTCCTTCCTTCCTTCCTTCTCTCCTTCCTTCTCCTCCTCCTCCTTCTTCTTTCTTTCTCTCTTTCTCTTTCTCTTTCTTTCTTTCCTTTCTTTCTCTTTCCTTTTCTTTCTTTTACTTTCTTTCTTTTCTTTCTTTCACTTTCTTTCTTTTCTTTCTTTCTTTATTCCTTTTTTTTAAGTAAGAAAGAGATTTGTTGAAAGAATATTGTGTAGTTCACAGAATAAGAGTGTTACCTCCAGGACTTGATAATAAGAAAAAAATCCCTGTGACCTCAGTGGCAGAAATAAATGAAGTGTTTCTTATGGGTTGGCCATTGAAAGATTTGGTCCTAACTGCTTCCTATCCCTATGTGCCTCCATTTAAGATCCATGTTCTTAGAAAAGAGACTGTATTTGGCCTAAGTTGGATCATGCTCTCTGCATATGGTGGAACATTTATCAAAATCTTAGACTACAGAGTGAGGGGCATTTCTCCCAAATAAATGATGCTGGTCAGATAAAAAAAAATCAGTTATATTCAACAACTATAATCAAAATGTCAATTACATTCAAGTATCTGATTTGAATATATATGTCTCTTTTTCTCCAACATGCAAGTGATATAATCAGTCATTCCACACCTTAACTCTATCCTTAGAAATAGATAACACCAAATCATAGTCTACTTCTATATCCACATGTTATAAAACCAACTTTCTGACTCCATCATCAATGCAGTTTTCTTGCAATATTCTGCTGGAAACTCTTTAATTAAATGGTAAAGGAAGAAACTACAAAAGTCAATTAAAAACTATGAAAGACAAAGAACAAAGAGAAGAAAAGAGAAATAATTTTTTTGCAGCTTCCCCCATTTTTCATGTTACTATCAAGGCTCTTGACACAAAATGGTACTCTTCTGGAAAAATTGATCCAATTCCATTAAGAACATGCAAGAGGGCCTGTTTCAGTGTACCCTTGTTGGCAATGAATATTAAAATATATTTGGCAGACAAAAATACTGTTGCTCCACTCTAAAAGATTTTGTTACTAATATGATTGGACATTTTTCATAAGTTTAGTGTATATTTGTAAAGCTCCTTTAGTGAATGAATGTAAGTAATGTCATTTGCCCAGTCTTTCTACTGGAGCATCCTAAAAATATCTGCAACAAAGAGCAAGCATCAGCTTAGAGGACTACTGTGGTTAGCAATTAGAGAATCAAATACATACACACACACAAACACACACACAACCACTTATAGGTGGTTAGTCATTCCTGAAATATTACATATCTAATCTGTATTTAACCTCTTGTAGATAGTAGTTAGCTGTTACATAAGATTATTACATAATATTATAATTACCTGACTAAAAGTAAGGACAAGTATTTTTAAAAAATACAAATGTTAAAGAAAGGCTGCACCAAATATTGGTAAATTCAAAGGTACATAAAGTTAGAATTTCTTGGTGTCTGATCTATGCCTTAAAAGTACATGAGGCACATTAGGAAGCTGAATCATGGTATTATGTACTCTTTCATAAGTCTTGCTTACGAGTGACCTAAATTCAAGAGTTTGCAAGTGGCCTGAGAGAGGCAGCTTCTGAAGGCTGGCAACATTACAACCCGGGAACATCCTGAGTGTGGGAGAGTTACGCCAATAGGTCTTAAAAGCCTTGCTTTGGGGTAGGTAGGTGGGTGGGAGGGTGAAGAATTGTAAATATGGCCAGAGTCTCATTGTCCCTGGGAGCATACCCTGAATCAATGCAATACTTTCCTGCAGCTGACATTCCTCTTAATATGCCTCCAGGTTATCAATCCTTAAGAACCTGAAGCCACAGAATGACATTTAACTTTGAACTTCGTGTTTAGTGAAGCAAGTGTTAATGAGATATGGTAGCTAAGATAATAACTGCAAGAACATTAACTAGCATTCTTGCAGTTTCCACAGAGGGTAGTGAAGTTACTAAAGAGCAAGACTTCACATTTGATCAGAAGCTAATTGAAAGATCCCTTCTGGCTTCAAAGTAACCAACAGTAATGAAAAATGAGGGATTTAAATAGCAAAGCGAATTTGAGGAATTATAGCTGCTGAAAACTTTTAGACTTAAACATCATTTTAAACACATTTTTTTCCTTTCATTGAACTCTGAGAGCATGGTGTCTGTACTAGCATTGTGGCATTTCCCAAATACTGGCATATGTTATATTACAATCTCTTCCCACTGGGTGGTAAGTTTTGTGAGGGTAGGGTCCAAGGTCCATGAAATATTTACCTTTATAGTCACTGTTAACATTTCAAAAATGTTCTGATCCAGACTGAAGAGACAAGCACCATATTTATTAATGGCTATAGCATTAATAAAAACAAACCGAAGGTTTTTTCCGTTGTTTTTACCAATTTAACTGCTTAAACTTATGAGTAAAGTACTTTATAAAATTCAAAAAGCAGTGTATACTTTGGAAATCATCATTCTTACGTTTATACTTGACGGGTAATTTGTGGAATTATATGCATCTGATTCCAATGTAACCTATATTTTAATAAATAGGGCCTGACATTTTAATTTTTTTGTTTCAAACATTTCACAATGACAATAAATTTTAAAAGGAATTTGAATATACAGTTTTCAAGACAATATTTTCCCAAATACAAAGGATTTAGCTGCAATCTTTGTACTTTCCTGGGTTATAAAGAAAGATAACATTTGGGGCCTGGCGCGGTAGCTCATGCCTGTAATCCCAGCACTTTGGGAGGCTGAGGCAGGCGGATCACAAGGTCAGGAGGTCGAGACCATCCTGCCTAACACTGTGAAACCCCGTCTCTACTAAAAATACAAAAAAATTAAAAAATAAAAAAATAGCCAGGCGTGGTGGCGGGCCCCTGTAATCCCAGCTACTTGGGAGGCTGAGGCAGGAGAATGGCGTGAACCTGGGAGACGGAGCTTGCAGTGAGCCGAGATCACGCCACTGCACTCCAGCCTGGGTGACAGAGCAAGACTCCATCTCAAAAAAAAAAAAAAAGAAAAAAAAAAAGAAAGATAACATCTGGAACTGGAGATTTTGAATTAGGTAATCTGGTCTTCATAACACTAATCATAAATTAGGTGGGTACTTAATTTTAATTTCAAAGCATGTGTTACTGGTTCTAACATAAAGGGATTGATAGTACTTTGAGAAGGCTGAGTAGGACAAATTGGGAAAAATTCAGTCCTAGTTTTGTATCAACACTCAAGTTTTCTTTTTTTTTCCCTAAATTATCACCCTGTCAAAATTAAATGATCAATTCACAGGAAAATTAAAGTCTAGTTAATGTATTTCAATACATTTAGAGTCTCTGATTTTCTAGGTGTATTATTCCTTCAATAAACATTATAAAATGAAAAATTCCTGTAATATCTTTATACTGTATACTATTTACCTACCTTTACTATCACCCCAATAGTAGTATTCAATACTTGTTACTTCTTGGCCATTTTGTTAAACAACAGCTTTGCTTTATTTTAAATTCTATAACAGAATTTTATTTTTTAATTCAAGCAGTATATCTGAAATTATTTTTTGCCTGATACCTGTATCTTTTTGTTCCACTTGTGCTAGTGTTTCAAGTTGAAGGCCTATCCCACATTACCTCTAACTAAATGGTCTTGTGTAAGCGAACTAGGACTTTGTAACTTCAAAGAACAGTATAAAAGAAGGGTAAAGAACAGGATAACAGAAATTCAGAAGGAAACAGATTGTTCTCCCTGAGGGAAAAGCAAAAAAAAAAATTGCAAAAGAACTGGTCTCTTTTTTTAATCTCTGGGATGAAAATGGTAACCATAGAAATCATAATAAAACTTAGGCTTCCTTGTCAAAGAATTTCTCTTGGTGAATGACAGCCTTGATACTCTTTTTAAATCTTTGACCTTATCACCCTTCCCAATATTTTAGAATCTCTTGAAAGAATACACCTGTGCCATTCATGGACTAGAAATTGGGCCTGAAAATTTAAACAGAGCTGAAAATTTGAGGTCTCATGAAGACAGAATATGACATTTAAAGCACAACAGTCAGTTTTCTATAGAAAATGAGAAGAGCAAAAGAAAGGGTGGAGACTCGTTCCTCACTAATATAGCTAACAGTTATGTTCTTTCTATTCATAAGGCATAAAAACCCTCTGGCTAGTTTAAGAGAAAAAATGGTCAAGGAACAGAAACATTGTTTATGAAATTTAAGAAAATAACGAAGTAATCAGGACTTAAGAAAGAGGGAGCTAAACTACAACGCAATGCTTTTAAGGTAGTGAGAATTTACTCCAATGACATTCAGCTTTGGGTTTTCATTTACCAAACATCCGGAAAGAGAGAGGCTGATTGGATCAGTTCAAATCTGGTGAATAATCCTGCATCAATTATCTGTGACCAATTCACACATTCAGGAAGGATGAATAAAACTACTAAAAGGAACCTCTCCTGTCTGCATTGGAGACAATTCCCAGAGGAAGGCTAAGTATGGTGGCAGGTCCATCATTTTAAAAGGTGCTATCACAATATTCATATATTTAAGGCCAATATTCAAAGTTACCATGCTCAGAGCATAAATTACTAAACAGACGAGTATAACAAAGTCAGTGACCCCACTGCTAAAGATACTCATTTGTTTATCCAGTGAATATTTATTTATACATAGAACTTGCATTATAAAATAAACACTATGCTATATAATTAGGATACAAAGATGACTAAAATATAACCTTAGGTTTTAAGAGTGTCTGGTTCTAACAAAAGGGATGAAGCAGGCATTAATTAAAAATAATTAACCATAAAAGTCTTCAATAAGAAGAACACCTAAAGATACTAAGCAGTGAATTTAAGGAGAATAGAATGTAAATTTTGTGTATTCATCTTATTCTAAGTTCAGTGCAACCAGGGATTGCACAGGATCCATAATTAAAACAAGCATAGCAGAGCCTGCTTCTTGTCATCTGTGTCTGTCTTCATGCGTTCACATGCTGTGTGTTTCCTGCTTCACTCTATTTCACTCATGCCATTTTTATTTTTTGGAATGAAAAGCCTTCATTTTCACAATAGATTTAATTGTCCTCCTGAATCCCCCTCTGATTTTCATGGCATGACTACCAACAGTTTTCTGGTGCCTAAAATTCCCCTATTGTGGCATCCTACCTGCAATCCCTGAAATGAATGACTGGTCTGGTGATGACACAAACAATTTTCACATTTTTTCCACAGTTTTACTCAGGGCTTCACATGGCTAAGAAAAAGTAGAATAAAAAGGAGGATTGTTTTCTCTCCTTTTTATATCTAGGACTATACCTACCTAAGGCCCATGCATGGGTCAAGGGAAGTAAAAGCTGAATTAATTTTTTCACAAATATGGTGTTTTCATTGTAAAAAGTTATTAGGCCTGTTTCTAGATTCTGCAGTTAGAAGTATAAATAGAATATAACAGGTTTGCATGTATGTGCAACCATTTGATTATATTTAAAAAGGAGTGTTCTATATATTTGAAACCATGCAGCTAAGTACTTCCATATTCAAACACATGTATATAGACTTAGTAATAATTTTATATCTGCCAGGCAATTTCTCTGTGTAACAAGAAATATATACTTTTCTTAAAATGTGGGCTTATGTAAAATTATTTTATGTAAAATTATTGCCTACCCTGATTTTAAAAGAATAAATAGTTCTAGTGAAACTATGTGTAAATTATATGTAAATGAGAGTTTTTGTAAAAGGAATTGAAAATATGACAGTTTTAACCTTCAAAGTAAATTAGAAGTGAGGCTCAGATGAGGATTGGGAGCAGTCATATCATATCATCCAATATGATAATCTCCATCAGTCAGATAAATCAGTTATTTTAGAAGTTCTCAGTTCATCTTTAATTTGGGGGACCATCCATGAATAAATGTAATACATAATTATGTAGGGGAAGATAGTACATGTAGGGCTCCAGAGGCTGGGTCTGGAAGTCAGACTTCAAGAGACCGCTTAACTTCTGTGTCTGTTTCCTCATCTATGAAAAATAATAATGGCAGCACCTACTTCCAAAGGTTCTCGTGAGAATTAAATGGAATAATACATATGAAGTGCACAGGACAGTGCCTGACATATAAAATGTGGCTGTGAATGTAAGCTATGATGATTATATTCTGTGAGGCAAAGTAAGCGATTTTTAGAAAGATTATTTTCTTCCTATTAAAAAATTTTTATTTTAGTTTTGGGGGTACATGTGAAGGTTTGTTAGATAAACACGTGTCATGGGAGTTTGTTGTACATATTATTACATCACCCAGGTATTAAGCTCAGTACCCAATAATTATCTTTCTTGTCTTCTCCCTCTTTCCACCCTCCCACCTCAAGTAGACCCTAGTGTCTCTTGTTCCCTTCTTTGTATCATAAGTTCTTATTATTTAGCTCCCACTTATAAGTAAGAACATCTGGTATTTGGATTTCTGTTTGTGCATTAGTTTGCTGATGATGATAGCCTCCAGATCCATCCATGTTCCGCAAAAGACACAATCTCGTTCTTTTTGTGGCTGCATAATATTCCATGGTGTATATGTACCACATTTACTTAATCCCATCTGTAATTGATGGAAATTTAGGTTGATTCCATGTTTTTGCTATTGTGAACTGTGCTGCAGTGAACATTCATGTGCATGTGTCTTTATGGTAGAATGTTTTATATTCCTTTGCATGTATACCCAGCAATGGGATTACTGGGTTGAATGGTAGTTCTGCTTTTGGCTCTTTGAGGAATCACCATACTGCTTTCCACAGTGGTTGAACTATTTTACACCACACCTAACAGTGTATAAGAGTATTCTTTTCTTTGCAATTTTACCAGCATCTGTTGTTTTTTGACTTTTTAATAGTAGCCATTCTGACTGGTATGAGATGGCATCTCATTGTGGTTTTGATTTGAATTTCTCTGATGATCAGTGACGTTGAGCTTTTTTTCATGTTTGTTGGCTGCATGTATGTCATCTTTTGAGACGTGTCTGTCATGTCCTTTGCCTACTTTTTAATGTGGTTGTTTTTTTCTTGTAAAAATTTTAAAGTTCCTTATAGATGCTGGATATTAGACCTCTGTCAGATGCATAGTTTGCAAATATTTTTCCCATTATGTAGGTTGTTTACTCTATTGATAGTTTATTTTGCTATGCAGAAACTCTTTAAGTTTAATTAGATCCCATTTGTCAATTTTTGCTTTTGTTGCAATTGCTTTTAGTGTCTTTGTCATGAAGTCTTTGCTTGTTCTTATGTCCAGGATTGTATTGCCTAGGCTGTCTTCCAGAGTTTTTTACTTTTGGGTTTTAAATTTAAGTCTTTAATCCATCTGGAGTTGATTTTTGTATATGGGGTAACAAAGGGGTCCAGCTTCAATTTTCTGCATTTATTGAATAGGGAGTCTTTTCCCCATTGCTTGTTTTTGTCAGCTTTGTCGAAGATCAGATGGTCATAGATGTGCAGCCTTATTCCTGGGCTCTCTATTCTGTTCCATTGGTTTAAGTGACTGTATTTGTACCAGTACCACTGTTTTGGCCACTGTAGCCTTGTAGTATAGTTTGAAATCAGGTAATGTGATTTCTTCAGCTTTGTTCTTTTTGCTTAGAATTGCCTTGGATATTTAGGCTCTTTTTTGGTTCCACATAAATTTTAAAATATTTTTTTCTAGTTCTGTGAAGAATGTCATTGGTAGTTTGATAGGAATAGCATTGAATCTGTAAATTGCTTTGAGCAGTATAGCCATTTTAATGTTATTGATTCTTCCTATCCATGAACATGGGATATTTTCCCATTTGTTTGTGTCATTGATTTCTTTGAGCAGTGTTTTGTAATTTTCATTGGATAGATCTTTGACCTCCCTGGTCAGTTGTGTTCCTAGGTACTTTATTTTTGTGTGTGGCAATTGTGAATGGGATTGGCTCTCTGATATGGCTCTCCATTTGGTTGTTGTTGGTGTATAGGAATCTAGTGATTTTTGTATATTGATTTTGTATTCTGAAACTTTGCTGAAGTTGTTTATCAGCTGAAGGAGCTTTTGAGCTGAGACTATGGTGCTTTCTAGATAGAAAATCATGTCACCTGCAAACAGGGATAGTTTGGCTCCCTCTCTTCCTGTTTGGATGCCTTTATTTCTTTCTCTTGCCTGATTCCTCTGGCTAGGACCTCCAATAATATGTTGAATAGAAGTGGTAAGAGAGGGCATCCTTGTCTTGTGCTGGTTTTCAAGGGGATTGTTTCCAGCTTTTGCCCATTCAGTATGATGTTGGATATGGGTTTTTCACAGATGGCTCTTATTATTTTGAGGTATGTTCCTTCAATATCTAGTTTATTAAGAGGTTTTAACATGAAGTCATGTTGAATTTTATAAAAAAGCTTTTTCTGCATTTATTGAGATAAGATTTTTTTTCAATGATTAAAACACAGGGTCCTGGTTGTGACAATTTTTAATTCCTCAATATGGTATAGTTAATTTGTTCATTTAGCAAATATTAATCTCATACCCAGCTTATGGCAAGTACTTTGTTAGATACTGGCAATGCAAATATGGTCCATGAAGTCCAGGAGCTGAAGGACTGATACAGGCATCTTGTATCAAAATATTCAATATAATATTGTAGGTGGGATGGCAGAAGTAGGCATGGGATGCCATTGGAATACACTGGAGATACTGTAATCTCATGTCTCCCTTGTATGTGAGTTCCAGGAAGTCTTCAGAGAGCTATTAACATGAACTAAGTCTAAATCTCGTTAAGTGTCCACCCAGAAAAAGGGATAGAAGAAAGCTTGCAATCTAAACTGGAGAAGAAGCAGCACATGCAAGAGGTATAAAACATCATGATGAACTTTCAAAATGAAAATAGTTTTATAAAAATGAAACCTAAGGTGACATGAGTTGACTCTGCTCAAATAACAAGCTTTATCTTTTGGCACATTAAGTGCTATGCTAAGAAATCTGAGCTTGGAAACAGTAGGGACCTAATATAGTGAGATATATTTTGGGAAGTTAAATCCAGTGATGTGGCAGGTGATAGATCAGCATGATGAGATCAAGCAGCATTTATCATATTTTAATATGTATGTAATTCACTTATCTATCATATTTATTTTTACTTTCCATTTCTTCCCACTAGAATGTAAGCTTGAGGAAGACAAGACTTTCATCTGTATCCTCAGCATCAAGAGCAGTTTCTGGCACCTGGTAAATTTCAATAAGTATTTAGTGAATAAATTGAAATTTCAATAGCTTAGGTAAAAGAAAATGAAAGTCTAAATGAAAGCAGTGTTATTAAAGCTGGAAAAAATAGATTTTAAGAAGTTAGACTATAGGAATTTATGACTGATTAGAAGATAATGAAGGAACCAGATATTGTCAGCAAATACCTGGTGTCTAACGTAAATACTACATTTCTTGCAAACAGACTATATAGGAGAATAATTTGGTGTGAAGAGGAAGGTGGTTGGGCACATAGGAGTTTAGATTTTTGGCACGTTGTTCTTGAAGGTCATACATCTGGGAATATACAGGTGTTCAGGAAGTACTTAGCTATCTGGTCCTAAAGGTCAGGGATATGGGCCTGAACTGACATTAATAGATTTGATGATATCCCACATATCATTATGGTTATAATTAACTTGTAAATATGTTTAAGTCCAACTCATGAGTGAATATTTAGTATCTCCAACCAGATAGTAGTAGTTGCTGGATACCCTATAACTGTGTATTTTTTTCCTAGTTCCCATAGTTTTTTCTTTTTTAGATTTATTTCATATATTTTTATTTCAATACCTTTTGGGGTATAACTAGATTTTTGTTCCATGCATGAATTGTATAGTGGTGAGATTTTAGTGCACCCATTACCTGAGTAGCGTACATTGCATCCAATAGATAGTTTTTCATCTCTCAGCTCCCTTCCTCCCTCCATGTTTTGGAGACTCCAGTGTCCATTATACCACTCTATAGCCCTTTGTGTAGACATAGCTCAGGTTCCACTTAAAAGTGAGAACATACAGTATTTGGTTTTCCATTCCTGAGTTACTTCACTTAGACTAATGGTCTCCAGCTCCATCCAACTTACTGCAACAGACATTATTCCATTCTTTTTTAATGGCTAAGTAATATTTCATGGTGTGTATATACCACATTTTTTATCCACTCATCGATTGATATGCACTTAAGTTTATTCCATATCTTTACATTTGTGAATTGTGCTGTGATAAGCATATGCATGCAGATGTCTTTTTGATATAGACTTATTTTCCTGTGGGTAGATACACAGTAGTGGGAATGCTAGATAAAATGGTACATCTACTTTTAGTTCCTTGAGAAATCTCCATACTATTTTCCATAGAGGTTTTACTAATTTACATTCCCACCAGCAGTGTATAAGCATTCCCTTTTCACCACATCCATGCCAATATCTATTGCTTTTTTTTGACTTTTTAATAATGGCCATTCTGCATTTAGCCTTTTTTGCTTCCCAGCCTTGCTTCCCTCATGCTACTTATGTCATATATATATATATATATATATACACACACACACACACACACACATGACACACACACACACACACACACACACCTATAAATATAGATTGATCCCAGTACAGTATGCTTTTGGGAGAGAGAGTGCCATGATTGAGAGAATGAATATCCGGATCAAAAAGATCTGAGCTCAAATCCACTTAGCTATGACTTTGGAATAAAAGTTACCTAATCTCTCTAAAGATCAGACTTCTCATTTTTAAAAAGTGTGAATCTCCAGTCTCATAGATTACTATAAGTATCATTGTGTTTAGTACAGTGCTTGGCCACAGCTGAGTCATCAATTAATTAACTCTGACCATAACTTTAATCATTACTATACTAGGTGTAAAGACTGCACTGCAACTTTAATTTAATGGTAAATTAAAGATGATAAAATGAAAGGTTTTTAGACAATTGGCTATCATTTCTGAATTTGTTCTGCTACAAATTTTAGAGCACCTTGGTAAAAATGTTTATTTTAATAAAAATAAACCTTAGTTAAAAGTTGTTTTCACAATGTAGGATTATCCAGCAAGAATAAATATTGATTTGTCTCTAATGGATTCTAAAAGATCAGTTGAATGAGTCATAGTTGAACCATCAGCCACGGTTGATCTAGATGGTTCTACTGTGAAATACACTACTCTTTAAAAGAATATCTTATGTTGTATAGGAATCTTAAGTGTGTGGCCCCTCTTCATCATCCTAATTATTCTGTGAATACAGCAGGTTCCAGTTTCACAGAATGAGGAATTTCAGGCTCAGACTGGTGGTGGCATATTCACCCACAAAGCA